>NC_000012.12:39429824-39581340 GCF_000001405.40 Homo sapiens
AAAGAGGAAAACAGCAGATAGAAGGAGGAGAAAAAAGAAGAGGAGGGATAAAACTAAAAAAGAAAAAAGAATCTAACATCTCACAAACAATTCTAAAGAACATTCTAACAATCTTAACAACCCTGTGAGATAGGGATTAAGGGATTAACCCTATTTTATACATGAGAAAACTAAGGCTCATAAAAGTTAAGTGGCCATCCGAAATTCTGAACTCAAATATTTGTGATTCTAAAGTCCATGCTTGGCTGGGCACGGTGGCTCATGCTTACAATCCCAGCACTTTGGGAAACTGAGGGAGGAGGATCTCTTGAGCTCAGGAGTTTCAGACCAGCCTGGTCAACATAGCAAAACCCTAAGACCCTGGAAAAAAAAAAAACAACCTTAAAAAAATAAAAACGTAAATAAATAAAGTCCATGCTTTTTTCCATAAGTCATGCTGCAAAAGAAAATAAAATTAAGGGTCAGGTGTGGTGGCTCACACCTGTCATGCCAACACTTTGGGAGGCCGAGGTGGGCGGATCACCTGAGGTCAAGAGTTCAAAACCAGCCTGGCCAACATAGTGAAACCCTGTCTCTACTAAAAATATAAAAATTAGCCGGGCTTGGTGGCAGGCACCTGTAATCCCAGCTATTCGGGAGACTGAGGCAGGAGAATCACTTGGACCTGGGAGTCAGAGGTTGCAGTGAGCCAAGATGGCGCCATTGCACTCCAGCCTGGGGGACAAGAGCAAGACTTCGTCTCAAAAAAAAAAAAAGAAAGAAAGAAACATATCAATTTATTTTTTTGTGAACATTAATATATTTTATACCATATTGGGCAGATTCATTCAACTCCTTAGTGGATTTTATGTTTTGGTGTGTGTGTTTCATGTCAATCCCATACTGCTATGATTTGAATGTGTCCCCAAATTTCATGTATTAGAAACTTAATCCCCAAATTCATTATGTTGTTTGAGGGTAGGGCCTTTGGGAGATAATAAGGATTAGATAAGGTCATAGAGGAAGGCCCCCATGATGAAACTAGTGGCTTTGTAAGAAGAAGAAGACTTGAGCAGACACACACCCTCCCTCTTGCCATGTGATGTCCTTCACCATGGTACTATGCTGCCAGAAAGCCCTCATCAGATGTCAGCACCCAGAACCAGGAGCTAAATAAATTTATTTTCTGTATAAGTCGTCCCTGTTGGTATTCTGTTATAGCAACAGAAAATGGACTGAGACACACATGGAAATCACAGCTTCTAGATCCCATGTGATTTTAGTCTCAAAACATCCTAGGGCCTCCAGGTTGAATGGGGTAAAGTAGAAAGCTGGACAACTAAACTGGATGGCATGGAAGTGAAGTAATGTCCAGAGATGACCTAGAACAGATCAGTGCCAGCCTATGTATACAAGTGGAATAACTCTGGTGGCAGCTGCCAGTTCTGTGCAGCCCACATGAGTTGAAGGAGACCCCAGTTGGGACAAAAGGGGACAAGTTTCCCTCTCCACAGAGAGGGGGCTTTCAATAATTTCACTTTGTCAAGTGGGTTTGGATTCAAGACACGGGGAAAGAGATCTAAATCAGGAAACCAAGACAAAAGCCAAGTTTGGACAAGTAAAATAGGAGGTTAAAGGGAAGGCTATGATCCTAAAAGCACAGGAATAATTAATAATAAGTCTGGAGTAGCAGCCAAAAAATTTCACACTAATGGGTTGGTGGAACAAAACTACTGCTGTGATTTACTTGTGGCTTTATTGAGGACTGACCCAGAAACTCAGGAAAGGCTGAGTTTGTCCACTTGGGGCATGAAGAACGTCATCTGAAAAAAGTTAAGCAAGACAGGAATTCAAAGGCAGCCTGACGTTATAGAACACACACTTGTGAAAAATTATGATTAGGTTATATAAAGTTAATAAAAAATTTAGAGCCAAAGCTAACTAAAGAAACCAAAACCCAATCTGCTACAGAGGCAACAGAAGATCCAATTCCTCTCATGTAACAAAATAGATAAGAATATTATCAAGGACAGATGGAATCTGTTGTCAATCTAAGGGCAAGTTAGCAAACTAAAATTCAAAAGCCTCATATTGTATTGCCTAAATTGACACTTGAAAATGTCACAGATGTCACACTGGAATTAAGGAACTTCAAATGGCAGGTCAAATAACCAGGAATGAAATCTGCAATCTCATGTTTAATTAGCAGTTGCCAACCTCCACTTTAGGACAGGACAGGTGAAGACTAACAGACCAACACGCTACTCAAAGAGAAGTGTTTTGTGTTGAACTGAGGTGAAAGCAAGCAAAATAAACACCTTAGAAACTCACTTATTTTCAAGAAACATGAACTAGTTATGGTCTTGTGTTTGATTTACCATCACTGGCTTGGAATAATGTGCTGGGAAATATCTACTTCATCCTAATACATTGTGTCTTTACATAGATATAGGTGAAAAGTTAAAATTAAATATCAATATATCTTTTTCTGGAAAACATCCTCAGTACCATAATGCTTACCCATATATTCTGGGTGAGCAGCACTATTCACTCTCATCAATTCCAATAAACACTCTTTGGTAAAGTCAGTGTTCATCAGTAGAAATGAAACATTATAAAGAATCAAAGGAGACAGCATAGTTCCTATAAAAATGAAATTAATGCCCTTACTAAACAATAAAGTCATGTCAATTAAATCACTGATATATTGAATTTAATGCATATTGTACTGAGTTATTGAAATAAAGCAGATGGTGTATAATATTTAGCATGTTACTCAAAATGCCCTTCCTTAATATAAAGATGGACAAATTCTTTTTTTTTTTTTAACAGAGCCTGGCTCTATCACGCAGGCTGGAGTGCAGTGGTATGATCTCAGCTCACTGCAACCTCGGCCTCCCGAGTTCAAGTGATTCTCTTCCGCCAGCCTCCCAAGTAGCTGGGATTACAGGTGCCTGCTGCTATGCTCAGCTGATTTTTGTATTTTCAGTAGAGATAGGGTTTCACCATGCTGGCCGGGCTGGTCTCAGACTTCTGACCTCAAGTGATCTGCCCACCTCAGCCTCCCAAAGTGCTGGGATTACAGGCGTGAGCCACCACACGACGACCAAGATGGACAAATTCTTATGCTATGTGTTAGAGGGGTAAATATCAAGCTACTAAAGGGTATCAACACACTGATTACAACAATTTCAAAAAACTGTAGGTACACATATTAAAACAGACTAAAAAGAAATATAGCAAAATGCTAGTAGTAATTGTATTAGGGAATTATGATTGATTGTTTTTCTTATCTTTTCCTGATAATTTTTCTAATGTGATTAACCTATTTCAATAATAGGAAAAAACTGAATAAAAATAACTTTCTTATGGAATTATAAACTGATTTTGAGATCATTAGACAGGCTTACAAGATATACTTTCAGACAAGCTTACAAGATATACTTTCTGGTTCTAAATATCAGTCTTGTTCTAAAATGCCTTCAGGCAAGTCTTTATATAAGTTCTATTAATGAGTATTGCAGGCACATTGCCCCAGTAGCTCCAGGTCCCAGAAAAAAAAAAATTTATCAAAAAAGTTAATGTATAATTAAAATTTTTATATTATTACTTCTGCTCCTTTTACTCAGTTTACCCCTTACAGTGCTCTTTAATCCACAGCCTAGTGTAATACTTCTTGCCAAGGTTGATGAAAGGAAGCAAAAGGAAAGCATTAGCAATATTTCCAAAAATCTGGTGCAACCTAATTCAGAAGGAAAATTCACATTTTTACTATCCACTTTAGTTACCATTCTCTTACATTAGGTTGAGCAACTAGTAAAAAGTATAACTCAAAACTACTGTTAATCTCACAAAGTATATGCTAGTAACTTTACAAACACGAAGAACTGTACTAATTAAAAGGCTTTGTGGAAAAAGAAAGAATAAAAATAGTGAATTCTAATAAACTATAAAAGGATGAATTTGATAGAGTAGAGCAGTATGGCATGTAATTTATATATTGAAAGCAAAAGAAAACGGGGAGACTAGATAGAATAAGGATCTTGGAAGTATTTATATATACTGTTATATCACTTATAGTGGTGTAAGTAAGAGATACTCAAAAAGCAAAAGAACAGATACCAGATACAGACATCTTTAAAGCACTTTACAAATTCAAGTTATAGGTTGTACATCAAAGAATAACTAATCCAATTGCTAGAGTTTGGAATATAATCAACATGCCCATCGTTGGTGTCCTAGTCCATTTTGTGGTGCTATAACAAAATACCACAGACTGGGTTATTTATAATGAACAGAGATGTATTTCTTACAGTTCTAGAGGCTGGGAACTCCAAGGTCAAGAGGCCTGCAGGCCTGCATCTGGCACGGTCTTTCTTGCTGCCTCATCCTAAGGCGGAAGGCAGAAGGAAAGAGAGCATGCACAAGAGAACAAGAGGGGACTAAACTCTTTTATAACAAAGCCACTCTCAAGAAAATGAAACTACTCCCTCAATAATGACATTAATCCATTAATGAGGGCAGAGCCCTCATGAACTAATCACTTCTTAGGCTCCACTTCCCAACATTGTTGCATAGGGGATTAGTTTCCGACACATGATCTTTCGGAGGGACACATTCAAACCATAACAGTTGGTTATACCAACTTTATCTAATAATATTACTACCTATGTTTGTATAAAAACCATTTTTCAAGTGCTTTCACATGGTTGTCTCGTGATCCTTTCTCAAATCCAGGGGAGAATTACTGAGGGAAAACCAAATTTATCAGGGGTAAGAGTCTAAACCAAAACAGTTTTCTAACCATGCAATGCTCATTTTATTATAGCACATTGCCTTCAATTACTTTAATGCCTCCAGCTTATGTGATTCCAGTACACAATGAACACTCATTAATTATATATTATATGAATGAATTTTGATCCAAAAAAGTAAATAAGAAGGAATACAATTGAGGCTAGAGATGCCCTGTGCCTCATTAGTACCATGTGATCAATATGCCACATCATAATAAACTACAGCTTGACTCTCCAAGGTCTCTTGTTCCCACTTGCTGAAAGATAAAAGACTTATTTAGAACAACTCCTAGCTGACTTAGTAGTTGTATCAAATAATGTGGATATCTATTCTGAAAAAAATGTAATTCCTTCATCATATTGAGAGATCTATGATATTATCAGGCCTACGTGACAGACACAACTCTCCAAAGTTGAGAATAATTCAAATCCAGTCTCAAAAGGTAACATCTTACTACACACTAAGATACCCAAAACATGGGGAATAAACCTTGAGCTGTCCTTGATGTTTTTAGCCTCTGGGTGGGTCCATTCCATAACTAAGTTTGAACATTTTTCTTGGTTCTTTCCTCTTACTGAAGAAGCAGATGGATGTGCCCAAGTAGATTGACCCTGGGGTTAAATCCTGAATGACCTTTATTACAGTCTGGGAACTCAGATATCTACTTGTCTCAAGTCAATAATCCAATGTCCTTCAAATGTTCTATTGTAATAGTGCTTAAATATTCTTTGAGGTTTTGAACATTTCAAGCCATTTCCTACTGGAATTTCAGAGGGAGAGAAAGAAGAATCATATATGGCAGGTCTAAGACCCCAAATGGCAGAAATTTTTCTGCATGACATCAGTCTAGAAAAGCTTTGTGTAGATGTGGGATTTAGGATGCTTTTGGGGTGACAGGCCTCCATTACAATCAAAATGTACTCTGTATTTCCTTCTGAAATGGGTCTGGTTAAGAACCACCTAATTAGTGAAGTAACACTCAAAAGGAGGTCTTTCTAAACCACTCAGATTTCTGCCTCCATCTTCCATTCCAGATGCCAAAAAATACGCCTCACTCCACCCCACCCCCACCCCACACTCCAGCCACCTTCCGTTTAGTGAGGTTGTTATTACTGCAATGTGCCATAATCCTTTAGTCTGTTGGAGTAAAGTATTAAGAACCAAAGTGGGAGGAAGCAGGGAAGCCACATGTCTCAGGCCTGGAATTCACTAAAGAATTTCTATTTACATGTTTAAAATTATTTTCAAATTAGACTACATACGAATTTTATTTCTGTGGTTGTTGTGAAAGCATTAATGTGCTACTTGCAAATGTTAAAAACAGTCTACATTTTTTTATAACTCAGTTCTGGCATTTCTTTATATTTTAATATACCAGAAACCTCAAAATTTAGACCTGGGTTTCTACCCCTGCGGTTCCTCTCCCTTTACTTCTGAGAGATCTTTGTTAGAATCACTGATCAAGTTCCTACTACTGAGGTGCTTCTAAAGTCAAAATAATGGGTTGACAGTGAGCGACCTTATCTAAATGTCAAACTAAAATTATATAAGGAATGCTTAAGGGATTAAAATTGTAGGTTATTTTAATATAAAAATTATTTCTTCGATGTATGTTAGCAAAACACGAAGTCCTAGAAAATCCACAGCACTAATCAAGAAGACTTGAGCTACTAGTCATGTGACCTCAATCAATTCCTTTTAACTTTTCTGGGCCTCTAACACCTCAACTATCTCGAAGAAGGGGCCTCAACCAATTAATCCTTTCAAGATCCCTTTCAACTTTAAAATCTATCTCGTCAATAATTATAAGGGTTTACTATATTATATATATATATATATATATATATATTTTTTTTTTTTTTAGACAGGGTTTCATGTTACCCAGGCTGGAGTGCTGTGGCTATTCACAGGAGTGATCACAGCACACTGCAGCCTTGAATTTCTAGCCCCAAGCGATCTTCCCACCTCAGCCTCCCAAGTGGCACGGACTACAGACACACACCACAACGCCAGCTTTAAACATTTTTAATAATTGCAAAAAAAAAAAAAAAAGAACAAGGTAACCTCAAAAATTATTCTTAAACCTTCAGAAAGATCTCATAATAATTGTATGGTATCATGAAAACTGTCCCTTTGGCTTGGCTGTCATTTGCTTCAAATAATGCCTGAGCCACGGGAAAACTATTTTAACACTCTGAGAAGATTAAATAGTTAATCCATTGGGAAACCAAGTTGAATCCACAAATCCCCTTTCCAAAGAGAAGCAGTGAAAATAACAACAACTTTGTTTTATTTTGAATAAAATTGTTCTAATGATATACAGCAAACAAATACTATCATCTGCCATGCATTTTTATTGATATGTTTTTCTTCCTAATCTGAAACTCAGATTATGTCAGGCCACATGTGATTTTGACAGAAAGCAACTATTTATAAGTCCGAGACTCATCTTTGAGCTGTAACATGTCTTGGGGAAAAACACTTAAAACAATGCATATTCCAAGTCAATTTATTTGAGGAGAAATTGATGAGAATTGGAAGATTGGGCATATTATAGTATTAACTGCTACGATCATTTCTGCTTTCATGGTTTCACTAAACTGGAATTTCTAGTGCATCATTCACTACCCCATAATTAGGCATCAAAATATTAACCAATTAGCAGGTAAGATGGCAAGAGCTCAAGGGGTAGTAATAATTAGACCTGAAACCTGAAGTTCCATTGAGTCCCAAATAACAAACAGGTCCACTACTTAATAAACCATATCTGAAGAATGACTATCAACCCACATTTTGTAAATGAAATTATTTCATTGACTTTCTACTTGCATTATCTGCTGGCTTTTCAGTCTACTCTCTTTCATTTCCATTACTCCTCATCCAAATACAAAGACATATAAGTAGGGCATGATATAAGGAATATCCTCCTAATGCATTGGCATTTTGTATCATTGTCTGTGAGAAATGTATGAACTAAAAAACGTCATTGAGAAAAATAAGAGAGAAACAAAAACTCAAATCTAACAATTATCTTTCATTTCTGGTATGTGCTATTGATTCTGTTGTGTGTTCATTCCCACATATTTCGTGTGTTTAAAAAGCATTGTACTGCTAGATCTAAGCTCCATGAAAGCAAGGACAACATACGTCACGTGTGTTGTGGTAGGAAAGTGTCTGGCATGTAATAGGCACTTAAAGATTTGTTGTATTAAGGATGAAAGGAATAAATAACCAAACACCAAATAACCATCTATTTCCATAAAATAAATGTTTCTCAGAGGTCTTACTCATTTGCTTCCATATTTTTTGAACATTAAACTGTTTCGAATAATTTACCTCACATGTATATCTAGAGTTTCAACTTAAAAGATCCTTATTACATTGAAATTATTAAGTAAAATTTTTTAAAACATTTGGAAGTATGTTTCAGAGCACAGCAATAGATATCAGAAACCTGAGTTTGAGTTCCAATTCTGTTACTTAGTGGTGAATAAACCTTGAGACACATTTTTCTCCTCTGTAAAACAGAGATAATAATAGCTGCCCAGGCTATCTGATAGGATTTTAATGTAGAGCCAATAAAATATTATTCATTTGTATTATAACCAGAATGGGACAAAGAGACCATTACAGCCTACATGTTTATTCTTCAGTAATAAGGATACCTAAAGAAATTATATTATTAGGAAAGTCAAGTTTGAAATATTAAAATAGTTCCTTCCAGTTAATATAGAGGCATCATTAGTGCCTGCAGTTTGACTAACAACAACTAAAATCATATTTAACAGACTGCACATGAAAAGTTCTTACAACTCTTAATATCTTTAGGTTGACAAACCAGCATTGGGAAAAAGAAAAGTATAGTGAGCTCACATTGCAAATAAGTGCCAGTGAAAGACCTAAAACTGAGCTTCTGAATGTCCAAATAGCCCCTAAGCCTGCTGAGCAATGCCACTCCTTAAATTGCTTTGGTAAGGTGAAAACCTAGCAAACTGAAACATAAATTAGACCACATTACACACTAATCCAAACTCACTGTCAAGGATAGGTACAGTTCTCTGATAAAGCCAGGCAAGGAAATTTTAGTTTCTATATACAGAGAATAACATAAAAACACAAAGGTCCTTTCTGTATCTCCCATTTTCACCAAACTCTTGACATATTTTGCAAACTAAAGTTCTTGGAAAGGAAAAACATTTCAAAGTTATCGTGTCAGAAGAGATAAGGAAGAGAAAGGAACACATCCTCTCATAATGTATTAGATTTAGAATGTGAAATGTTTGACTTTATCTTTTTGAGTTAACTGTTTGGTTCAATTCAGTATACTTAGATAATAAGAATAGATTCTACATTGTACTTTATTGTTCATTTTTGTTGGCGACATCTATCTAAGCCATCCATTCAACTTACCACATTTCCTAGGAAAACAGCTACCTGATTATTGAGTCAAAATCCATACCTTCCTACACCCATGCACTCAGAGGAAAAAAAGTGTTGCTGTTGAATCACATCTTACATCTTACATGTATATATATACTTGTGTGCGTACATGCATATCCACTCTAAAACCAGATACCCAATATTTTAGTATTTTCTTAATCGAAGGATGTGATTAGTCCATGATGGGGTGTCTGTGAAAAGTTTTATTCTAAATGTATTCCTCACATTTTTAAGTTATAGTGCAGTGGTATCCAATGGACACATACAATGTGAAAGTTAATTTTAATTATATTTTATTTAACTCAATGTAAGCAAAGTATTATCATTTCAACATACAGTCAATATAAGAATTGAAATATTTACATTCGTTTCTTCAGAGTAAGCCTTTGAAAGCCAATGTATATCTATTACACTTACAGTTCTAGTCAATACGTACACTAAATTTTCATCAGAAATACTTGTATCACTACTTCGATTTCAAAACTTTACAGCTGAAAAAGTAGATCCAAGTTGTTCAAAACATACTTAAAAGTTTATGATAACTGGATGAAGGACCAGTTTTTAAATTTAAATTTTAACTCATTTAAATTAAATTAAAAATTTAGTTCCTCATTAGCATTAATCATAATTCAAGCGCTTAATAGCCACATGGGGTTGGATAGCAAGGGCTGTTATCCAAATCCATATCTATCTCACTGAAAGAAACCCCACAGAACATCTCAAATATACTGTAAAAAGGTATTTTTGGAAATTGAATAAAAATTGTTCTCCCTAAATGAGAATCTTTCTGTTTAACATCTTTCTCCCAAAGCCTTAAATGACCCATTTCCTTATCTTGAGAAATCTACAATAGAGTCATCAGCTTTAACATACTAATAAACCTCTAATAAAACATAAGCACCTCTAGGATGCATTTCCACAATTATATTATTCATTAAAGGAAAAAAAGCAGGTCAAATGCTTTTGATTTTGTATATAGACACACGATTTTGTATTGATTTATTTATTCTGCTGAGGAACCCTTCTCAAACTGAAGGGTAGGGTAACAGGAAGCTGGAAAGATTAAATAATTTGAGGAAATATTTTAGTAAGTTCAGGTCCTGTCTTAGTTCTATCTTTTCTAGCAATATCAAAATATGAATAACCTGTGAAAGCCACTCATTTGTAAATGAACTAATACAAAATCAAGAACAGGCAACTGACCCAAAGCTAAGTGAAACTTTGCAAAGCCATGTTCTTGCCTCTCACTTCCGCAGGGTTAATGGTTAAGAACTTGGGCTACTGAGTCAAGCTATCTGGGTTGGAACCCTGGCTCTCTCATTTGTTACCAATTTAACTTTGGATGGTTTACTTAATCTTTCTGTGCCTCATCTGTAAATGGCCATAATAACAGGACCTAAGTCACAGATTGTTATGAGGAATAAATAAGACTTTACATGAGATAAAACATCTTAACACAGCACTAATCCCGGCACACAGTATAAGTCAAACAATTATCACTACTTTTAGCCCAGAAATCAGGATAACAGAGACGGGTATATATCTTCAATAAATAATGGTTATAAATGAACAATATAAGTCCAAACACTTTATAAATACTAAAGTGCTATATGAGTATAAGCTATTTTTATCCTATATAAAGTAAGTTTACAAGGTAGCTCTGTTCAGAGAACAATGTATTTAATGAAAGAAATCCCCGATTTATCCAGGCGCAGTGGCTAATGCCTGTAATCCCAGCAATTTGGGAGGGACGGCTTGAGCCCAGGAGTACAAGACCACTCTGGGAAACATAGGGAGGCCCCATATCTACAAAAATGTATAAAAATTAGCCAAGCAGTGTGGCACATGCCTGTGATCTCAGCTACTCAGCAGGCTGAGATTAGAGGATTGCTTGAGCCCATGAGGTTGAGGCTGCAGTGAGCTATGATGGCACCACGACACTCTAGCCTGGGTGACACAGCAAAACCCTATCTCAAAAAAAAGAAAGAAGAAAGGAAAGAAGAGAGAAAGAGAAAGGAAAGAAGGAAGGAAGGAAGGAATCCTGAATTCAACAAATTGAATCTTTACAATATGGCTTACTAAGTTATGTTGAAGTTTTTATAAAGCCTTTCCCCAAAAATCAAACCCACATTCATTCACCTAAAAAGTCCTAACATACACACCAAAACAAAATACAAGTTATTTATCAGTCAGCATCACTTTAGGGTCATCCATGGCTCTACAGGCAAAGAAGCATCGGATTTAACAGAATGGTCAACAAACTGCCTTGTGATAGTCTAGAGAATTCACATATAAAAATCTCAAACGTCTAAAAACAGACAAATTGTCTGTTTTCAGTAATATTTTATGCACCTTCTTCACTTTCCTTGATCAGATCTCCTAACAAAATTGCCTCTTATTGGGTTTTCTGTCTTTTTCCTTCCCCTTTCTCCACCCTGGTGCAGTCATTAACTGGTATTAAAGGGCCAAAAGAGAGGTAGTAGCAGTGAATAGGAGAAACAGACTAATCTAACAATTGGATAAGTAGCCCTAGAATAACGAAGAAGGCCTAATTAAAACTTCAAAAGCCTTATAACAGGTGATTCTAACCAGTCATAAAACTGTCACCTCCCTGGGTGGTAAAAAAAAAAAAAAAAAAAACACTTAAAAACTCATTTTATTATTTAAGTTAATTAAAGATACAAAGTATACGAAACAGCCATTACTATGCCTGACCCAAGATGTGTCACTAAAATAGTAACTATAGAAATGTTTAGAGGGGAGAATTTTTAGAATAATTTTCTGGAAAGACTACAAGACTGGGAGATTGTTAATAGTTCCTAATTCCTTGGAGTGTAGATTATTTTTATAATCCTTAAAGCATAAATAAGGAGAAGTGAATTAACAGTAGACTCTCAGAGCTGTGAAAGCCACGCACTTACTCTAGGATGAATGCTTCATTAATTTTTCACACAGTGTGATGATGTTGCAATTTTCCATGAGCAACTATCAGAGCTTTCCTTCTTGATAAGTATCAAAACAGCCGAAATTACATCGAATACTCGTGCCTGTCATTGGCCGAAATATAATTTCAATACTAGGATGTACCTAGTATTTCCAGACTCACACCCTGGCCTGGGTAACGTTACGATTACATTGTATCCACCCTGCCTAATGTCAGTATGTTTCACACAGTCACCCATTTCACCCTTCCTCTGGCTAAAGAGTTTTCCTCCTTCTGTAGACCTCTCCCCAGTGGATTTTACCTTAAATTCCACTCCCATTCCAACACCCAAGAGGCTAGATCTGTCTCCTCTACCCACACGCGGGGGCATGTCTAGATCCCCGTGATGCTGAAAAAGATGTCTCATTTGCACAGACATCAGAACCCGAGTGGGCGCGCGGCGGGCCCTGCGGTCGCCGGCGCTGATAGTCAGATGCTTTGTCTCCTGCCTGGGAAGGCCGGAGCTGCATGGACACGTATGACAGACATTCTAGAACTAATAAAAAAGAACACCACAGCCCCGCGCACAGGCAGCTCCTCCCGGACAGGCGATAGCCCAAGGCGGCCAGACCTGAGGTGACTGATCCCGCGAGGGGACGGAGGGGAGTGACGAGGGCTTTTCCCCCAGAGAAGTCAAGACGCCCCCCAGGGACCCGGCGCCGCGCAGCCGCCAGCCACCTGCAAACACAGACGGCGTGAGGGCGGCGCAGTCGCCCTGCCAGCACCCGGCCGCGCGTGCCAGGCCAGCGGGGACTCACTGCCTCAGTTTCCTCAGCCGCAGAACCCGGCCGGGACGCCCCTCAGGTCGCTCCACCCCGGTAGCCGGTGCTCCGCGCCACAGCCAGGTCCTTGCCGCGCCCTCAACCCGCCGCCCGCCGCCCGCCGCCGGCAGACTGTCCTCACCTGACAGCCACCCGCACGGAGCTCTCGTCCGGGGCGCCCAACATGCTGGCGGCGGGCAGCGATCGAGCCGTTGGGCCTCGGCACCGCAGAGCTGAGGCGCCACTGGGGCCGCGGGACTCGGGCGCAGTAGGCTGGGGCGTCTGCGGGCGGGCGGCCGGCTCACCTCCGCCGCGCTCCAGCCATGTTGGGCGACTGAATGGAAAGGTGGCGGCGGCGCTGAGGCAGCAAGAGGAGGAGGTGATTCACGGCTCGCGGGCGCCCGCCCCTTCTCCACCGCTCACCCCCCAGGATCTGGGGCGGGGACAAAGCGCGCTTGAACGGCGAGCGCGCCTGTGGAGAAGCCAACAGGCCGCCAGCGGCCTCAGGGCGGCCGGGTGAGTGCGCCCTGCCCCCTCCGGTGGGGACGCGGCCTCCCAGCGGCCAGGCTGGGGACTCCACGCCCGCCAGGGCGCTCCGGGCTCCTCGCCCCGCACTGCGTCAGCCGCCGCCGCGCGGCTCAGCCCCACCTCGCCCTCCCCCAGCCTGCGCCCCGCCCTGCCCTCGTCGGGACACTGCCTGGCGCTGCTGGGCAGGGAGGCGAGGGGGAGGGATGCCTGCCGCCGGCTGCCCTCGCCCGAGGGCGACCAGCCTGTGCGCCCTTCCAGGCTCTTCTGGGAGAAGGAAGCAGCTAGTGCACGCGCTGCTGCCAGGTCCCTTCTCAAATCGAAGCTTGATTCAGCGGCGCGCCGGGAGCCAGGCAGCTGCTGCTGCGGTTCGGCTTTGTGTCCCACGCATAGCCTTATTGTCCTCTCTGCAGCTTGGACTTTGACCCCCTTCCCTAGCCCCCAGCTGAACGCCCTCCCTCCTCCCTCCCCGGAGTCAGTCATTCATGCTAAACGGACTCCCAGGTTTGTCCACTGTCTCTGGACAGCTGGGCTGTTCTACAGTTCATCGCCCGTTTACCAGCTCGGGTGGGATATGGAAATGATTTATTCGAGACTCCTGAATGCTTTTCTGTTCAATCATTTGTACACTGGTAAATGAACTGCACCCTGGTACTGCCAAGTGTTCCCAGAACTGAATATATCCACCAAGACCTGCTGTGTAGTAAATCCTTCCAAACTGATTTTCTTTCCCTTCTGGCCTTTAAAAAGCACCTCCCAATCCCAGGATTCTCTCAACATTGACCCATTGTGGTTTCTGTTTGTCACTATTGTGCTTCCACATGCCTTCAGATAGCTCTGTGGAAACAGCCTTTATTAGCTTTGCCACAGAGTATCTTTTGTGGACTGCTCCATACATCTCTATAAACAAACATGTGGCTTCATACGAAATAGTATCACAAATTAAATGGCACTATCCAAATAAAGGCACTACCTCAAATGCCTGCAATCTACAATCACATACCTAATCATCTTGTTCAGCAGTGATACAGCAGTGTGGCTCAGAGAAGGCTGCAACACTATGGGAAAAACAAGAAGTGTTTGATGATTTAAACCCATGGGAAGGCCGATGGGGTATATAATTATAGATAGTTTTAAATTTATTCTGTCCCTTAATCTCACTACCCCTAAATCTTAACAGACATGTAACTGGGAGGTAAAGAGGGCAGAGATGCTGAGTATCCTTCTATAGATCAAATTGGTGGGAAAGCTCTCCTCTGGCTACTCTTTGGAGGGCCTTTCCTAGCCTCAAAATTTATCCATCAACAAATCAGAGCTGCATTTCACCCTGCCCTGGCAAGCCCATATCTGGGTGGATCTGGGCTGGCCACCTTGCTTCTTTTGTTGATGAAAGCTGCAAGGAAAGCAAGAATGGCCCAGCACATTTAACAAGAAAACTAAAGAGAAATTTGTATAATTAAGACCCTCTTTTTAAAAAAAGTTCTTTTTTATTTTATTTTATTTTGAGACAAAGTCTTGCTCTGTCACCAGGCTGGAGTGCAGTGGCGTGATCTCGGCTCACTGTAACCTCTGCCTCCCGGGTTCAAGCGATTCTTCTGCCTCAGCCTCCTGAGTAGCTGGGACTACAGGCGTGTGCCACCATGCCCAGCTAATTTTTGTATTTTTAGTAGAGACAGAGTTTCACCGTATTGGCCAGGCTGGTCTTGAACTCCTGACCTTGTGATCCACCCGCCTCGGCCTCCCAAAGTGCTGGGATTACAGGCATGAGCCACCACACCCAGCCTATTTTATTTTTTGAGACAGTGTCTCGCTCTGTCATCCAGGCTGGAATGCAATGGTGTGATCTCAGCTCACTGCGACATCGACATCCTCCTCCGGGGTTCAAGGGATTCTCGTGCCTCAGCCTCCGGAGTAGCTGGGATTTCAGGCATGTGCCAACACATCCAGGTAATTTTTGTATTTTTAGTAGAGATGGGATTTCACCATGTTTACCAGGCTGGTCTCAAACTCCTGACCTCAAGTGATCCGCCCACCTCAGCCTCCCAAAGTGCTGGGATTACAGGCATGAGCTACCTCACCTGGCCAAAAAAAGTTCTCATTTTAAATAACAATAGTATACATATATGTCTCAGTAAGGGGAGTCACAAACACAAATGCCTACAGGAGCCAGGCAGGTAGCTCAAAAGAGCAGAGCAAGATGAATACTATGATAAAGGTGAGGACTATCATAAAATAGAGACACAGGCCCCTTCCAAAGGTGGTGGCCATCCTCAGCTCTGGCTGAATATTGCCTTGATGAAATGCAAATCCAATGCTGCCAAGATTTTTATTTCTTGTATGTATGTTGCTTCTCAAGAAAAAGAGAAAAACAGATCTTTATGAAAAAACTCCTTAGTTTTAAACACCAACGACTAATTCAGCACAATATTTACATATGCTGCAAACCAGACAAAATATGTCTCAGGCCAACTTTAGTCCCAAGACACCAGGCTGGAACTTCTGGACAAAATATTAGCACCAATAACAGCTGTGGCTTTGGGTTCATATTGCACATGGTTTCAGGAAGAGGCAGTGTAGAAATTCAAATTCTCATTAATGACCTAGTCAGTAATTTTTCCCCAAATTTCTAAAGTTGTAAAATTAACATACTATTTTGTATTTAGTTCCAATTCATTTACAGCTGCTATAACACCTTTCCTTATGACTCCTCTTTTTTTTTTTTTTTTCTGAGATGGAGTCTCGCTCTGGAGTCTCGCTCTGGAGTCTCACTCTTTCGCCCAGGCTGGAGTGCAGTGGCACCAACTCGGCTCACTGAAAGCTCTGCCTCCTGGGTTCACGCCATTCTCCTGCCTCAGCCTCCCGAGTAGCTGGGACTACAGGCACCTGCTACCACGCCTGGCTTAACTTTTTGTATTTTTAGTAGAGACGGGGTTTCACCATGTTGGCCAGGATGGTCTCGATCTCTTGACCTCGTGATCCACCCGCCTCGGCCTCCCAAAGTGCTGGGATTACAGGCGTGAGTGACCGCGCCTGGCCATGACTCCTCTAAATAATCTTAATTTCTTAATTTCAAGAAAGTTCCAAGGGAAGAGCTTTTACTGCAAGAGTGGTTTAAGTCTTATTCCAATCATTGACTCAATAAATATTTTAAGTGATTATATGCAAACAAAGTGAGGGACAACAGTGATTTAGAGAAGAATAAGACAATGTCAGTGCTTACAAGGAGTTTACTGTCTAGCACAGGAAGATATGTTTGAAAATACTAAATGGAATAACAGAAATTACGAGAGAAATACGATGAATTTTACCTGGACGGGTAAGGAATTCTTCAGATATAAACTGCACAGGATGGTCTCCCTGAGTCCACTCTTGCCTTCATATTGCAGGAATAATGTTTTTGTTGGTTTTTTTTTTTTTCTTGAGACAGAGTCTCACTGTTGCCCAGGCTGAAATACAGTGGGGCAATCTTGGCTCACTGCAACCTCTGCCTCCTGGGTTCAAATGATTCTCCTGCGTCCAAATGATTCTCCTGCGTCAGCCTCCTGAGTAGCTGAGATTACAGGCACCCACCACCATGCCTGGCTAATTTTTGTATTTTTAGTAGAGACGAGGTTTCGCCATGTTGGTCAGGCTGGTCTCGAACTCCTGACCTCAGGTGATCCGCCTGCCTTGGCCTCTCAAAGTGCTGTGATTACAGGTGTGAGACACTGTGCCTGGCCAGAATAATGTCCTTTTAAACATAAGTCATTTATGTCATTTCTCTGCCTGAAACCTTCCAATGGCTACTAACACAAATAGAATAAATTATTCTACACTTTAAGACCTTCACACACTGTCCCTGCCCCAACTCTGACCTCACCTTTTGCCACTCTATACCTTAACAACTACTTTTTGGTGAGACTGGTTTTCTTTCTATTTCTGGAACTCATAAAGTTCTTTCCTGCCTGAGGGTCTTTGCACTAGCTATACCCTCTCCCTGGAATGTTCTTTCCCCAGACCTTCCCATCGTTGGCTTTTTTTTTTTTAATTTCTAGGTTATCAGTTTAAATGCTGTCTTCTCAAAGAGGCCTCTCTTGATCACCCAGTCTAAAATAGCACCCCCACAAAGACCAGCTACCTGATTTGCACAACCCGGTACAAAATGAAGATGTGAGGGATCTTGTAAGAAAAGGAAGATAAAAATGATATGAAAGGTACGAAAATAGAAAGTTTTTCCCCTTCCTTTAAGCTCTCTTGTGTCACGGTGTTTTTTATTTGCTATTTAATGTCATTCTCCAGAAAGAAAAGTTAAAGTTTTAGATATTTCCATGACTTTCTCCATTCATCTTTATAGTGTACAATGCTGGTTTTAAGTATCAACAGAAGAGCATTTAACTCTTACATGGGATTATAAAAATTATACAACTTATTTCATAATTCATACATGCATTTTATTCTTAACAGTAGAAACACTGCACAAAACTAACTCAACTGTTTTTATTTCATACACACATATGCTAATAACATTTCCTACCTTTGACTTACAGATTAATAAGGAAGAACTGAAAAGAAAGGAAACTACTCTGTCCCGTCTTTACCTTTCCTTTTACTGACATGGTTTGGCTCTGTGTGCCCACCCAAATCTCACCTTGTTTGTGATAATCCCCATGCATCAAAGGACAGGACCAGGTGGAGATAGTTGAATTGCAGGGGCAGTTTCCACCATGCTGTTCTGATAGTGAGTGAGTTCTCATGAGATCTGATGGTTCTGTAAGGGGCTTATCCCTTCACTTGGCACTCATTCTCTCTCTTGCTACCCTGTGATGAGGTGCCTTCCACCATGATTTTAAGTTTCCTGAGGCCTCACCAACCATGCAAACCTGTGAGTCAAACCTCTTTCCTTTGTAAACTACCCAGTCTTTGGTATTTCTTGATAGCAGCATAATAAGGGACTAATACATTACATCATCACTTTTGGAGTTAATGGCTGGCTGCTACAAGAATTAATGAAAGAAGAAAAGAATAAGACTGGGTTCTTTGGTCATCTTTCAGAATGTCATTGCCTTCTTTTTGCATTGGAAGTGTTAAAGTAAACTATGGCCTGAGAAGGACTCTGTACTTCTATATTTGAGTCCTTGTGGATGAACTGTAACCTAGCTTAATAGACAAAATTGAAAACCTAACTTGGTAGCATGTACCTGTAATAATAGCTGAGTGTTGGCCAATCCCAGCAGCCATACTTCAACCACTCATAGACTGCAGAATGTGCAAACTGCATTCAAATAAGGCAAACACCGAGTAGTAACCCATTTCACTGTTTCTGTACCTCACTTCCGATCCCTGTACATCACTTTACCTTTTTTGTCTATAAATTTGTTCTGAACACGAGGCACCCCTGGAGTCTCTATTAATCTGCTGTGATTCTGGGGGCTGCTCGATTCGCAAATTGTTCAATGCCCAATTAAACTCCTTTAAATTTAATTCGGCTGAAGTTTTTCTTTCATCAGAAGCAAGTTCTGGTTTGAGAGAAGCATGGCTTCTAAACATATCAGCATTCCTGCTTCCTCCGTGGAAGACATAGAACATTTATCTCACACTGGCTTTGAATCTCACTGAATTCTCCAGGGTGGTGATTCAACTGGAATTCCATGCTCATGAGAGATCACAAATGCTACATAAGAATGGCATGGCAAGGAACAGAGGACATACATGTTCTACATATGTCTTCTGCTTATTCATATGTCACAGTGCCTTATCAAACCACACTTATAAAACACAAGTCAGAAGATAAAATTAAGAATTTCAAGACAATGACAGCAGAATATTATTAAACCAAGAGTGTGGCCCTTCTGAACAGAAGGCTCTGTGTAACTGTACTGATCTCTGACCCTGTACACTCAGTTATGAACTATCATATCAGTATTTTATTTCTTCGTAGCCCTTATCACTAGCTGATATTGTCTTATTTTTTGTTTATTGTCTGCCTCCCTGAATTTGAATATGAGATCCAAGATAGCAGAGAACATTTCTGCTTTATTCACAGATATTTCTGTAGTTCCCTCAACAGTCTGACATGTAATTTAATGTCTGACACATATTAGGGGTTATTAAATATTAGCTGAATGACTATATGTCTTTGGACAAATATGAGCCCTTTCTAGTCTCAGTTTTTTATAAGTAAGTAATGTACTTCCAAGCTTATTGAGTTGTTTAGGGGTTTAAAGAGCTTTGCTTATCATATGTAAATCACAGCACCAGCTCCCAGTAAGTGCACATCAAAACTAATTTTATAATAATTATTTTTGCCCAGTGCGGTGGCTCATGCCTATAATCCCTGCAGTTTGGGAGGCCAAGGCAGGTGGATCACTTGAGGTCGGGAGTTTGAGACCAGCCTGACCAACATGGAGAAACCCCATCTCTACTAAAAATACAAAAAATAGCCGGGCATGGAGGCGCATGCCTATAATCCCAGCTACTTGGGAGGCTGAGGCAGGAGGACTGCTTGAACCTGGGAGGCAGGGGTTGCAGTGAGCTGAGATCACGCCATTGCACTCCTGCCTGGGCAACAAGAGCAAAATTCCATCTTAAAATAAATAAATAAATAAATAAATAAATATTTTTATAAATACATTGTTTTTAAAGCAGGTACTGATGCTGCAGCTGCACCTGTCTAAGGTACATTTGGAAGAAAGATTCATTACAGCACCTACTGTAAGGCAGCCAAAAAGAGGCAGCCAAAAAGAAGTTACAGCATGCATTAGTGTAACTATCTCACTGGTTTTCTCCCTCTAGGCCATCTACCCTGTGTTTTCTAGTTTCCACATTCTAATCAGTCATTAAACGTTATTTGACTCTTCCTTTTGGCTGCTAGAAAAAAGATGAAAAGAAAAAGATCTGATTATAATTTTGTATGCAAACAGCTGGCTTTGGAAAAGCATGCCTAGACAACCATCCCTTCAGAAATATTTTTGGAAAAATCTTTAGAAAGCTAACCCTTAATGCCACCATCAGAAATATCAGTTTTCCTTCAGTGATTATTTATGAGTGGGTGTGTGTGTGTGTGTGTGTGTGTGTACATTTTCCCCACTAATAATGAAAAGTATTTACACGCATAGGGCTCTTTCATCATGCCAGTGCATGGAGTTAAGTCCAGCAAGTGTTATTTCACTTAATTCTCTCAACAGCCTAGAAGGTGGGTACATTTATTTATTTATTTATTTATTTATTTATTTATTTATTTATGACAGGTTCTGGCTTTATCGCCCAGACTAGAGTCCAGTGGCACGATCACAGCTCACTGCAGCCTCAACATCCCAGATTCGGAGAGCCTCCCACCTCAGCCTCCTAGTAGCTGGGATCACAGGTGTGCACCACCATGCCCAGCTAATTTTTTAAGGTTTTTTAGAGCCGGGTCTTGCCATGTTGCCCAGGCTGGTCTCAAACTCCTGGGCTCAAACATTCTGCCTGCCTTCACCTCCCGAAGTGCTAGGATTACAGATGGGAGCCTCTGCACCCAGCATTGGTAGGATTTTTATTTCCATTTTACGTAAGAGGAACTAGAAGCCTTCCCAATAATCTCTGATAAAATGTTATCTACATTTCAAGCCCAATTCAAAACCACCTCTTTCTTCAGCCTTTTCCTGAGTTTACTCCTCTCCTGGACCAAATGTATCTTTTCCTTCTGCCAAATCTCCATTGCATCTTGCTTATGTTTTAGTTGTGGTAATGATCACTTTCTGACTCAACTAGACTGCAAATTCCTAAAAGGCAGTATTTGTGGAAAACCCAGAAGGGCAGCCAATACTTACTTGTTGAATAAATAAATTGGTGATTACCAGCAGAAGGGCATGCTATGCTTTGGTTTCCACATAAAGCAAGTTTTCAGTGTAGATAATCTGCTGCCTACTGGTTATAGTTCTCAGATAGACTATTTCCAGACCATAATGTCTGATAAAGGTGGCTTTCAAACACTCAGGAAGAAAAGTAGAGCACCACTTGAGTTTCTGTAAACCAGCAAATGTAAGCAATGCTGCTGTAATTTTGGAGATAAAAGATATTTTACAATTCTACTCCATCCTACTAATTTTGCAGGTTAGGAAGTTTATTAATTTTGTGAAGAGGAGAATTCACCATCACACCAGTTCCACCTACTTCCCAACACACACACCACCACCACCACCACCACTGTAAGTTAATGGTAGAGATAAATTAAAATTCAGGTATCTTGACTCCCTTTTCTGAGCTCTTTGTCCTTCACTGTTATTTTCACTATCATTGTAGTTTTGGGACTTAGGAAAAAATCTCAGCCTGCACTACAACAAGTGTTTGCATGTGAAGAATATGTGCTGAAATAATGAGATGATCTTAAATTCTAATAGTAGTAATTTATCTTATAATAAAAGCAGTTTAACATTTTATAAACTCATTTTAATGACTCATAACATTACTGAAAAATCAAACTTTTAACTATATGCATATTTTCTCTTTTTATTTTTATTTATTTTGAATAGGGTGTGAGTTATTTCTGGGTGCGAAGTAAGGGTTTGAGGAAATTTATTTTCCTTCTTTGTATCTTTTCATACTAGTTGAAATTTTTTAAATGATATAAATCACTTCTGAAAAGCAGTGAAATTCTAAGAAAAAAAAGACAAGAAGCTCAACTTTTATTCATTAAGAATAAAGAATTAGATAAAATTTAGATTTCATCGTTCACATTTAAGATCAGAGTTTGAAATCTAACTGAATTTAAGGACCTGGACCTGAGTTCCCTGCATAAGGGAAATTCAAAGAATAAAGCCTCCCCTCCAGTGCTTTGGACATTTGTTGAGTTTGCAGCATATGCATATTGCAGACAGCTTGATTACCCTCAAAGTACTGGCCCAGTTAATTGCATTCAAATGCAAATTACAGCTATTAAGTCATGCTGGTTCTGAGCCAAAATCTCTAGCCAAATTTGTAAGAGGAGTATGTTTTTTCCTAACTGTGCAGGACCAAACTTGATAGGCAGTTTGGGATAGTCATTCATTAGAACCTCATTCTTTGTGTGTGTGTGTTTTTTTAAATTTTATTTTAGAGTATTATAGAACTCAATCACTGAAAGATAATTTTATTAGCCATTTTTAAGAGAGAACATTTCACCATTTACCACCCCCTCATCTTTTATTTATTCATCAATACCACCATTCTTTTCCTCCATCTGTTGATTGGAGTTCCAGCCTTTTTTTTTTTTTTCCTAACCATTTTCTTTTCTTGTTACCACCACATGGATACTTTTCAAATTCTCATGGTTCTGGACACCCTAAGCCAAAAGATTAATAAAGCCCTGAATTTTTCATCCATATTCTCTTTCCATAAACCTCTATCAATTAAAAATACAAAGTTGTCTTTTTAAGTTGGGGATAATATATATTTCACTAACTTCACTGAACATGTGCTTAGATTTACCTCCCCTCAAAAAAAAAATTTTTTTTTAAGCTACAGTAGAGTAACAAAGCACTAACATCTAGATACCTAAGTATTCCCTATGCAGATGCCCATTTGGTAGAATTGATGCTTTTTAAGCAAAAATATGCATGTTACCTTTCTAAGATGCTTTACCTAAATTAAAGTAAAACTCTGCTTTAATCTCCTTGATTGGTTCTGAGACCAGTTATTTCACAGTAGGCTCTACCAAGGAAGCCTTCCCAGACAAGAGAAACTGATGACATTTGTACTGATTTTATAATGCTAAGCTACTCCTCTAATTTTTGCAGTAGTGCAAAGTGAAAAACCATTTCTGATAGAAAAATTGTTGTTAAACTGCCTTTTTGGCCCAAATGACTCTTTAAAGGACTTGTTTCTAAATGTGATGTTAACAATAGGGATTAAAAAAAGATATGGACACAGTAAGATGTTGATGGACAATAAATTAACAACAAGATCATGGCAGCACCTGAACACACTTGCTTATGCACGCACCACCACCACCACCACAACAACAAAAAGGTGTTTTTTTTTATGTCAATGAGAAGTCAGGGGTGTAGGTACAGTGTTCATAGTACAGGATAGTACAGGAATTTAATAGAAAATACAGGAAATGCTTTAAACTTTGTGAGTGGAAGAGTGATAAGATAAAGGCAGGATTTTTTAAATGTGCAAAGTAAAATAAGATTTTAAAAAGGATTATGAATCTGGTCTAAGTCTATGAGATGTACTGGGGACACTCAGTCAGGTCACCAGGTCATACTGTCATACTTTTTTAGTTATGACATGGTAAGGCCTGAACTAGGCTTTTTCTTTTCTTTTCTTTTCTTTGTTTTTTGAGATGGAGTCTCACTCTGTCTCCCAGACTGAAGTGCAGTGGCACAGTCTCGGCTCACTGCAACCTTCACCTCCTGGGTTCAAGCAATTCTCCTGCCTCAGCCTCCCAAATAGCTGGGATTACAGGTGCGCTCCACCACACCCAGGTAATTTTTGTATTTTTAATAGAGATGGGGTTTCGCCACGTTGGCCAGGCTGGTCTCAAACTCCTGACCTCAAGTGATCTGCCCTCCTCCGTCTCCTAAAGTCCTGGGATTACAGAAATGAGCCACCACACTCGGCCTGAACTAGGCATCTTAATAGTGAATATGGTAAAAATGGAGAAGTAGAACTTATAAATGAAAGACATTCTAAAAGGAAAAATGAACAGGAATTAGCAACACAGGAGAAGAATAATAGGAGGTTAAGGTATTAAACTCCCTGCCATTTAAAATGTTCAGTCATAGGCTAGAAAAACACTCCCTGAAGATATCATCAAAAAGATGAAAGCATCAACTAGGAAGGATGAGGGGGAAATGTGAACTAAAGGGCCTCTTGAAGTCCTGCCAATCGGAGATTACGAATTTATGAGTGGTTTTAAAAAATATTCCTAAATCTAGGCAATTGAGAGAATAATGATATCATTAGCAGAAACAGGCAAGTTGAGCGGGAAGAAAGGAAAGCTCATCTGATAGGAAACAGAAAGTGTATGGTAGAAAGAACACTTGGGTTGGAAGTAACATGACAAAAATAAAGGCAGAACAAGAGCATCAAGGCACTAGACGAACCCAAAGGAATGAAGACAGGGAAGGAATCAACGGATCTATCACATCAGCAAAGCTAATTATAACTGTGAGAGAGTAGTTTGAATAGGACAGGGGAAAGAAAAGCCAGGTGTCTGGCCAGGTGTGGTGGCTCATGCCTGAAATCCCAACACTTTGGGAGGCCAAGGCAGGCAGATCACTAGGTCAGGAGATCGAGACCAGCCTGGCCAACATGGTGAAACCCCGTCTCTACTAAAAATGCAAAAAAATTATTAGCTGGGCATAGTGGCACGTGCCTGTAGTCCCAGCTACTCAGGAGGCTGAGGCAGGAGAATAGCTTGAACCCAGGAGGCAGAGGTTGCAGTGAGCCAAGATTGCACTACTGCACTCCAGCCTGGGTGACAGAGCGAGGCTCTTGTCTCAAAAAAAAAAAAAAAAAAAAAAAAGAAGAAGAAAAAGAAAAGCCAGGTGCCCAAGGAGCTAAGAATTGGTGGTAGGAAGGCAAGGAGACAGTTCACAATTTCAGAAAGCTCACTAATGAATGTACAAAAGGGATCAGTCTAAATTCCATTTCCATTTGTAAATTACTAAATCAATTTAAGTGTTTTAGCGCATAAACGATCCCATATTTAAAACTACTTTCATCGGCTTGTCTCCATTCTACCCCTTATTTCTTTGGGCAAATTCTACACAATCTTGAAAGTATTGTTAGACTCCTCTCTTGCACTTATGCTAGACCAAGGACACCTTTTGGATACTCACACTGTATATGGGCATAATTAAAGTATTAATTTATTTTAAATTTATTTGTTTAAACATGGCTTCTGTGCTAGATTGTAAACTTTTAAAGTAGATACCATGCCTGATACATTGTACTTACAATTCCAAATACAATGCATATCATTTGATACTCAGTATCAAATCTTTATGGATGACCTGAAAATCCCTCTTCTAGCAACATTGTCTTTGAAGTACAAATAGCTATTAGAAGTTGACTGTGGCCTGGCGCAGTGGCTCACACCTGTAATCCCAGCACTTTGGGAGGCCAAGGCGGGCAGATCACTTGAGGCCAGGAGTTCAAGACCAGCCTGGTCAACATGGTGAAACCCAATCTCTACTAAAAATACAAAAATTAGCCAGATGTGGTGGTGTGCGCCTCTAATCCCAGGTACACCCGAGGCTGAGGCAGAAGAATCACTTGAACCCGGGAGGTGAAGGTTGCAGTGAGCCAAGATTGTGCCACTGCACTCCAGCCTGTGTGACAGAGCAAGACTCTGTCTCAAAAAAACAAAAACAGAAAACTGTTGACTGTGCTTGATTTTCCCAAGAAACTCTCTAGTTTTAGACCACCAATTTAGATAACTATATCTTGGACTTCTTTGTAGGTCTTCCCTTCCCAGTTTCTAAATTTTGAAACTCCCAGGTCTTGTCCAAAGTTCTCTTTCTTTTCCTTTTTACATTTTCTCCCATAGCTCAAATTCAGTCTATATGGGGGTTACCAGCCATTCATATTTCTATTTAAACAAAAAGCTTAAAAGTAAGAAATAAATATTTAAGAATAGAAAGCTGCTCAAATAAAAACATAAAGAAAGAAAAATATTTTTGTATGGCTGTACAATGTGTTTGTGGTTTAAGCTAAATGCTATTACAAAAGAGTCAAAAAGTTCTAAAAAATTAAAACATAAGGTTAAAAGTTACAATAAGCTAACGTTAATTTACTGAAGAAAAATTTTTATTTACGGTGGCCTAAGCATACAATGTTTATAAAGTCTACAGTATTGTGCAGTAATGTCCTAGGCCTTCACATTCCCTCACCACCCACTGACTCACCCAGAGCAACTCACTTATAGTCCTGCAAGCTCCATTCATGGTAAGTGCCCTACACAAGTGTACCATTTTTTATTTTTTATACCATATTTTTTACTGTATATTTTCTATGTTTAGATGTGTTTAGATACACAAATGCTTACCATTTTGTTACAGTTGCCTACAGCATTCAGTATAGTAACATGCTATATAAGTTTGTAGCCTAGGAGCAATAAGCTACACTACACAACCTAGATGTGTAGTAGGCTGTATGGTCTAGGTTTGTGTAAGTACATGCTATAATGTTTGTACAATGACAAAGTCACCTGAAGATGCATTTTTTAGAATGTATCCCCATCATTAAGTGACACATGACTGTGTATACACACACACATACACACACAAGTGTAGGTGTGTACATTAATTTATTATTTTTTTTTGTTTTAAAGACAGGGTCTCACTCTGTCACCCAGGGTGGAATGTGGAATGCAGTGGCATAGTTACAGCTCATAGCAGCCTCAAATACTTGGGCTCAAGCAATTTTCCCTCCCCAACCTCCTATGTAGTTGGGACTACATGTGCACCCCACCATGTCCAGTTAATTTTTTGAAAATTTTTTGTATTGGCTAGGTGCAGTGGCTCATGCTTGTAGTCCCAGTACTTTGGGAGGTTAAGACAGGTGGATTGCTTAGGCTCAGGAGTTCGAGATCAGCCTGGGCAACATGGCAAAACCCTGTCTCTCCAAACAAACAAACAAAAAAATGGTTGCGTGTGGTGGTACATGCCTGTAGTCCCAGCTACTCTGCGGGCTGAGGTGAGAAGATGGCTTGATCCTGGGAGCTAAGGCTGCAATGAACAGAGATTGGGCCACTGCACTCCAGCTTGGGTGACAGAGGAAGATGAAGGAAGGGAGAAGGGAGGAAGGGAAGGAGGGAGGGAGGGACGGGGGGGATGGGGGTGCTGGGTCTCCCTATGATGCCCAGGCTGGTCTCAAACTCCGGGCCTCAAACAATCCTCCCACCTCATCCTCCCTAAGTGCTGGGATTACAGACATGAATGACTGCACCCAGTCTTAACTTATTAAAAAAAAAAAGACTTACAAAAAGTTGTGAAATAGAACACACAGTTCCCATATGCCCAGGTTCCCTTATATAACAATTTATGTAAGTATACCACAATTATCAAACCAGAATATTATCATTTGTTTACAAAATGTCCTTGTTCTGTTCCAGGGGACCCAATCTAGGATCCTCCTTTGCATTTAGCTGTCATGTCCTCTTAGTTTTTTATCTGTGGCTGTTTCTTCGTCTTTCAAGACCTTGGCACTTTTAAGAGTACCGACCATTTATTTTGTGGAAGGTCTGTTAGTTTGAGTTTTTCTGATGTTTTCTCAAGATTTGTTTGAGGTTATGCATTTTTTTGCAAGAATATCAGAGAAGTGATGTTGTACCCTTCAAAGTGCATCCTATTAAGAGGCACATGATGTTCACATGTCTTATCACATCACCAATGATATTAACTTTGATCTCATACCTGAGACGTCTGCCAGGTTTCTCCACTGGAAAATTATTTTTTTGATCTGGGCTCATTGAAACATCTCAGGGAAGATATGTTGACAGTATGATAATCTTTTTTCTTATCATACTTTCATCCACTAATTCTAATATTTGTCAATTATTTCTTGTCTATAACAATTATTACTGGGATGTTCACCTAATAGTGATTTTCTATTTCCATCATACCTTCTATATTTATTAATTGGTATACTCTTATTCAAAGAAATAGCTACCCTTTCTCCCTCATTTATTTATTTCTTCCATGATTTATTTATATTAGTATGGGCTCATGGATATTAATTTGTTTTATTGGTTATAAGGCATTAGAAAAGAATAAGAAAGCAAAGAAGGAGGGAAAAGGAGAGTGAAGAAAGACAATGCTAGTCTTTCCTCAGAATATTACCAATATGGTCATATTAGTAATATTGTAAACTTAGAAAACTATTCATGAAAAGTATTGTACTATAATAAAATAGAAGTTAGAATTTTAGAAAGAACATAAAACTATGGTAAGTTTTTAAATAATACTTACATATTTTGGTTATTCAATATTAAAATATAAAGATAGAAATTTTACTTTTGTAGGACATAAAAAGAACTATTAACTCAAACCTCAAGCTGTTGCCAAAACTAATGCATTACCTTCCCAGGAAATGCCTGACTCCAGCCTGTCCTATCCTTAATTCATCCTACACATTAGCATCTGTATACCAGAACAACTATCAAATTATCTGTGAATTCTTTTTCTATCATCAAGATTTTGGAAATATTTATCTGAGTATTTGGCTTTAAAAAAATGATTTAGTGACTGTATAAAATCGAAGTACTAGCAGTATTGTTGCACTCCAGCCTGGTGACAGAGCGAGACTCTGTCTCAAAAAAAAAAAAATACTAGTAGTGTTGTTAGTAGTGAAAAATCCACGAGTCTGCAGCGACCTCAATTCTTGTCTCCTTGGAAGAAAGAATTCAACCGAGGGGTATAAGGCAGAGTGAGAAACCAAAGCAAGTTTTAGAGCAGGAGTGAAAGTTTATTAAAAAGTTTCAGAGCAGGGCCAGGTGCGGTGGCTCACGCCTGTAATCCTAGCACTTTGGGAGGCCAGGGTGGGTGGATTGCCTGAGTTCAGGAGTTGAAGATCAGCCTGGGCAACACGGTGAAACCTTGTTTCTACTAAAATACAAAAAAAAAATAAAAGTTTCAGAGCAGGAATAAAAATAAAGTACACTTGGAAGAGGGCCAAACCAGTGACTTGAGAGATTCATGTGAATAGTTTGACCATTGACTTGGGGTTTTATACATTGGTATTCTTCTGGGGTCTTCCCTCATCTCTTCTCCCTAATTCTTTTTTTGGAGTGGCTGTCCACATGTGCAGTGGGCTGCCAACTCTTGGGAGGGGCCACGTGCGCAGTGTGCTTACTGACGTTGTGCACATGCTCATTGAGGCGTTTTTCCCTTACCAGTTGAGTGTTCCTATAAGGTCATATGCCAGTTAAACTCTGCCATTTTGCCTCTTAGTGTTTATGCATGAGGTCACTCACCCAGCTCCTGAGATCTTATCGGGAAGCTGTGGATTACCAGTTTCAGTTGTTTCTGTCTGTTGGGAGACTGCCTTTCCCTGTTGCTGGCTGCAAACAATTATTATTTTAGAGGCAGTTTAACCACCACCTGACCATCAGCTGATGGTCACCTGACATTCCTGGTGGGGCGGGTGGTGCTCTCTCCTGCCTTGCTCGTGTCTGCTTGATTACCTACTATAATGGTGTCATTGCTATATATACATGCATTTCTCTAAAACACTTCCGCAAATATCCATTCCTTACTACTCCTACTAACTTGATAAGGAATCCATAGAATAGTGTAGTTTCGAAATTGAAATGAAAGTATAGTTTGCAAGGCTGGGCGCAGTGGCTCACACCTGTAATCCCAGCACTTTGGGAGGCCGAGGTGGGTGGATCACAAGGTCAGAAGTTTGAGACCAGCCTGACTAACATGGTGAAACCCCATCTCTAAAAAAAAAAAAAGAAAAAAAAAAAGAAAGTATAGTTTGCTACCTATGCTTCTAAGACACTGTATTTGCCACCTCCATACCTGAAATTTCCATGCTATTTTCACAATTTCCCTATCCTCATAACAGTTTGAGCCTCCTGTTTAAACTTACCCCCACTTGGATCACTTTCATAATTCTTGTTCTTTATTAAATTCATGTCTCCTCAATGTATTATTTTTTTCTGTCCTACTTGGCAGTAAACTCCACTCACTTGACTATAACCTCTAGCAAAGTATGGATTCCGCATCCTGTTTTCTACTTGGTGTCCAGTGTTTACCATAAAGCAGCAGCACAAAGAGGATGCTCCATAACTGTTTACTGAACAAAAGGATGAATAAATGGCAACATCTTCAAGCCCAAACATTAACTAACATGAATATTAGTTAAGGAAACACTAGCTGCTCTTGGAATACAGTTTTATCAATTAAGTGGCAGCACGTTTTACTGCTCATCCAGGGTATGTAGATGTGCCCATAGGTTTTATTTTGTTCCTGCTTATTTTAAACCTGTGAAGCAGTTCAGAGTAACATACAAAAAAAAAAGGAAAGTTTCACCATACCAAATATCTGTCATATTCTGGAGTGAGATATTAGACTCAGAAAAAGTCTAAATATAAATAACATAATATAAATAAAATTCTAAATTTAAATATAAATAAAATTCTATGGGTTTACATAGAAGAGTATGCAAACATGTGAACCATGATGCATTATTATTTTTTATTGCTTGTCACAGCTTCTTATACCCCTCATTAATGCATATTTGATGTTTTTATTTGGCAACATCATGCATCAATAATGATATTCTCTAATTATTTTAATTTCCTAATTAATCTAAACACCAAATTATTTTGTTTTGTTTTTACTGGTGGGTGGGTGGAGTGCTTTAAAATGTCATGTCTTGACAGGCTGGGGCCTCCCACCTCCCACCTGGGACTCTAAGCCTGAGATAGAGGCCAAGGCCCGGATGGCAGTGCCCAGGCCCTGTACGTGAGGTCTCTGGTGCTATCTCCAGAATGTGGCATGCATCAGACGCTGAAGGAGATGGACTTTGAGAGGGAAATCCACTTGGTAACCATGAAGAAGAATGGTTACAATGTTCCTTACTCTCCCAGCCACAGTGGGTACTACACTATTTGCCATTCTTGCTGGAAAGTAGAGCCAAGTTACTGGTATTCCCAAATCCACAAAGTGCTACTGCCTACACCAGGTACATTATGAGAAAGCTTTTGCTTTCTCATAGGCTTAACTTCAAGGTGGCAGATGATGACAAATTCTCCAGACTGTACAATGTTGCTTTGAAGGGTCAAGAAGACCTTTGTTCTCTCCTTTGAAACTCAGACCAGTCCTAAGGCTGTCTGAGTTGGAAAGGCATGAGCAACATGTGACCTGATGCCCTGTAATAGTAACTGAGTAAATGTTTGTGTCTCCTCCACCTCCCCAATTAATACGTTGAAGTCCTAATACCCAGTGTGATAGTATGAAGGGACAGGGTCCTTGGGAGATAATTAGGGTTAGATGAGGTCATGAGGGTGAGGCCCTCATGATGGGATTAGTGCCTTTGTAAAAAGGGACACTAGAGAGCTTGCTCTCCCTCTCTCTGTCTCTGTCTCCCTACACATGCACAAAAAGGTATGTAAGGACACAGTGAGAAGGTGGCCATTTGCAAGGCAGAAAGCAAGCCCTCACCAGGAAATGAATAGGCCAGCACTTTGATCTTGCATTTTCCAGCCTCCAGAATTATGAGAAACAAATTTCCATTGTTTAAAACACCCAATCTAAGGTATTTGCTATGGCAGCCCAAGCAGACTAAAACAGATTTAGTTACCAAAAAGTAGGGTACTACTGTAACAAATATCTAAACATATTTGTGCAAGTGGCTTTGGAACTGCGTACTGGGTAGAGGCTGGAAGAGTTTTGAGGCACATATTAGAAATATGGGCATTAGTGATTCTTGTGTGGTCTCAGATGGAAGTGAATAACCTGTTATCAGAACTAGAGGAAAGGCAATCCTTGTTATAAAGTGACAAACACTTGACTAAATTGTGTACTAGTGTTTTGTGGAAGGCAGAACTTGCTTGCAATGAAACTAGGTATTTAGCTAAGGAGATATATAAGCAAAGTGTTGAACGAGTGGCTTAGTTCTTCCTGACTGCTTATAGTAAAACGTGAATAGAGAGAGAGGAATTAAAGAAGGAATTGTTACACACAAAAAAACCCAAAACTTGAAGATTTAAGAAGTTCTCAGCTGCCCATATTGCAAAAATAAGAAAGCATATTCTGAAAAGCACACCAGAGGTGTTGCTAGACTGTCACTTGTTAAAGAGTTTATGGAATTATACAAAGAGAAACATTGCAAGTTTGAGCTGAAGGGGATTGAGATGGGATGAAATAAAGGAAGGCTTTTAGACCTCTTGGATTTGATAGGATGGGATGATAGTGCCATTTGGCTGAGAACATGCACTATTCATCAAGAGGCAACAATGACCCTGAAGGTGATTAAGAGGGTGATCAAGGCCACTACCTTAGTTTTAACCAGCCAAACAGCCTCTGCCTGAAGCTGTTGGGGTGGGACCCTGACCTGGAACAAAGGAGCAATGCAGCCACCACAGTGTATCCAGAGAGCAGAACATCAAGCAAAAGAGGATTATCCTCAAGCCTTAAGATCTAATGAAATTTGCCTTACCAGGACTTGGATTTGCTTGGGACCTGTCACTCCTTTCTTTCTTCTGAAATGACCGTTTTTGAATGGAAATGTTTATCTTATGCCTGTTCTACCAGGGTATTTTGAAAGCATATAACTTTTTTGATTTTACAAGTTCACAGCTGGAGATGAATTTTGCCTCACTATATATCATAAGTCCAGTTTCACCCATATTTTATTTAGATGATATTTAGATGAGACTTTGAACTTTAGAGTAGATGCTGGAATTAGTTAAATCTTTTGAGGCTATTGGGATGGAATGAATGTATTTTGCATGGAAGAAAGACATGTATTTTGGGGGACCAAGGATGGAATTTAGGGACTGAATATTTGTGTCCCCCACCCCCAAATTCATATGTTAATGCCCTGACCCCCAATATGATAATATTTCAAGATGGGACCCTTGGGAGATAATTAGCGTTAGATGAGGTCATGAGTACGTGGCCTTCATAATGAGATTAGTGCCCTTATAAAAAAAAGGAAGGAAGACCAGCTCTCTCTCTCTCTCTCACTCCCTCTCATTCTCCCTCACTCTCCCTCTCTGATGATAGAAAATATCATCAGGATATTAAAATATCCCTATCTTTTAGAAAGAGGTCAGAGGGGAAACCAGAGAGCAGGTTTGAGGGGTGAGGACTGCAAGTGCTAAAGCTTGAACAGATTATCAAACTCCAAATTATTCATGTGATGATGCCTACTCATTTGGGAGGGAAAGAGGGAGATCCCTCCCTCCATACACAAAAATTAATTTTTAAGGTATAAAATACCCATATATAAAAACCAAAACTATGTAAGTATTAGAAGTAACTACAAAATATATGATACAAATCAAAAGTTTTATAAAAGAAAAGCTTGACAAGTTGAGTACATAAAAGTTTTAAACTGCTACAAAAAAAGACAACTTGAACAAAGTTAAAAATAAGTGACAAAGCAAAAGATTGCTATATATGTATTACAAAGGATTCATATCCAAAATATGTTTTGTTTTGTTTTGTTTTGTTTTGTTTTTGAGACAGACTCTCACTCTGTAGTCCAGTCTGGAGTGCAGTGGTGCAATCATGGCTCACTGCAGTATCCACCTCACCGGCTCAAGGGATCCTCCAACCTCAGCCTCCAGTAACTAGGACCACACATCCAGCCAATATTTAAATTTTCTGTAGAGAAGGAGTCTCCCTATATTGCTCAGGCTTGTCTTGAATTCCTGGGCTCAAGCGATGCTCTCACCTTGGCCTCCCAGAGTACTGGGATTACAGATGTGAACTACCACGCCCAGTCCCAGAATATGTTATAAATCTCCTACAAATCAAAATGAAGAGACCAAAAAATTTTACAGAATGAGCAAAAGATATGGACTGACCATTCACAGAAGAGATCATACCAAACAACAACAACACAAAATGGTGCTCACCTTAGTAGTAATTAGGAAAATGCAAAATAAGGCAAAAAGTCAATGGCATTTTTGATCCTTTAGATTGTTACTAATAATGGCTTTCTGATAGAATCACAAATGTTGGCAACGTTTGACACTTCTTAGTGTTTTCCATATATTAACTCATTTAATCCTCACAGTAACCCTATGATTAGGTGCTATATTGTCATCCATATTTTAAATATATTAACTCATTTAATCCTCACAGTAACCCTATGATTAGGTGCTATATTGTCATCCACATTTTACAGTTGAACTGAGGCACAATATGGCTTAGTAACTTATACTGAGGTCTCACAGCTAATAAGTGGCTCTAGAGTCAATGCTCTAACCATTTCATTACATTGTGTATCAACTGGTAGCAACCTTTCTGGATGATAATTTCGCTGTAATAAAAACTTTTAAATAAATACACACTCAGACACATGAACTGTCAATTCTTGAGAATTGACAGTTCTGCTCTCTGGAATCAGAGGACTTAGGTTGGAGTATGAATCCACCTAATTACTGCCAAGTGCAAACAAGTCACTTCACTTCTCTGAGTTTCAGAATTTTTATGGTATTTATTTTTATAGATTTAGTGAGTACAAGTACAGGTTTGTTACTTAGATATTTGCATAATAATTTTCATTTTAAAATGAAAATTCTATATGGTTGCATTGTGAAAATTAAAAGAGATTATATATTAGAAACACTTTGCAAATCAAAAACACTTTAAGACATTCTCTGATCTTACTGAATTTTTGTACTTTAAGAAAGCACTGGTGCTTGAGTTTTTGAATTTACTGAATAAAAATATTTCAGTGGAAAGCTAGTAGTCTTTCTGAATTTTCTTTTTTTTTTTTTTTTTGAGACAAAGTCTTGCTCTGTTATGGAGGCTGGAGTGCAGTGGTGTGATCTCGGCTCACTGCAACCTCTGCCTCCCTGGTTCAAGTGATTCTCCTGCCTTAGCCTCCAGAGTAGCTAGGATTACAGGCCTGCACTGCCATGCCCAGCTAATTTGTTTTGTTTTGTTGCATTTTTAGTAGAAATGGGATTTCACCATGTTGGCCAGGCTGCTCTTGAACTCCTGACCTCAAGTCATCTGCCCACCTCAGCCTCCCAAAGTGCTGGGATTACAGGCGTAAGCCACTGCGCCCAGCCAGTCTTTCTTAATTTGATGAGCCTGTAATTTAAAAAAATTAAAAAATCAGTTTTGGAGTTGGTCATCAGCATTTTCAGGACGAAATACTAAGCTAAGAATTCAGCAGGCACTGGGAGTGGCAGATGACAAAGAAATAGGACTCATAGTGCTTCCCCTTCCAAGTTTACCATTTCCTTGTGGTTACACAACATGCACACAGGCAAGAGCTTAACATTTACAAAATAGTAGAGATGCTGTGGGGGTTCAGTGCGAACAAAACACATACAGCAAAGTCCTTGAAAGCAGAAGGCTTTTGGTGTCCAATAAGACCTAATTCATAATCCTGGCTTCTTCAGTTTCATAAACTAGAAATCACACTACCTACCAGGAAGGATTATCCTCAAAATCAAATTAGTGTAAATAAAATGGTTAGCACATACAGTATCTGGCATGAAGTTAAGAGCTTCTGCTATTATTGGCTGCAAAGAGAAGTCAGAGAGAAGAGTGAGCACAGTTCAGAACATCAGGCAGTAATTTAGTAAAGTGTAGTGTGAGAAAACATTTTCTAAAAGAAATATGTTTCACACAGGCCTTAAAAGAGAAAAAGAAGAAATGACATTTCCAAAATACTTGCTTTTAGCATGGGAGTCTTTACATGCTGGGACACATTAATCTGAGAGTGCGGTAACACACCAGTAGCCAAAATTTAAAAAGAATAGGAATTTTGATGATGAATATAGGAAAAGTAAGTTGCACTGTTTCAGCTATCAATTTATATCTACATACCAGTGCATAATGTTATCAAATTCATCACACTTTCAAAAAAAGAATGATAACCTCTCTGATTAAAAAAAAATCAGATTTTCACAGAAAAGGCAACATGGATGCTTTCTACTATTAAATTGAAGTATTTTCTATCTAGAGGTAAAGCAGCAAGCAGAACTTCAGAGCAACTTAAATTCAAAGTTGCCTTTAAAAAAAAAACTAATTGACTTTATTTTTTGAGCAATTTTAGGTTTACAGAAAAATTGAGTGGAAAGGACCAAGTTCCCATATACCCCCTCAACGTTCTAGTTCCTCCTATAATTAATATCTTTCATTAGTGATACATTTGTTACAACTGATAAAACAATATTAATACATTATTTTTAACTTAAGTCCATAATTTACATTAGTGTTAATTCTTTGTATTGTACAGGCATACATCATTTTTTGTACTTCGCTTTATTGTGCTCCACAGATATCGTATTTTTTACAAATTGAGGGTTTCTGGCCACCCTGTGTCAAGCAAGTCTATTGGCACCATTTTTCCAATAGCATGTGCTCACTTCATGTCTCTGTGTCAGGTTTTGGTAATTCTTCCAATATTTTAAAGCTTTTTCATTATTATTTTTTTGAGAGTTTGTATTATTTTAATTATTTTCACATGCAGAAAACTCAACAGCATATATTTAATCCAGTTTGGTGGCAAGTTCTTTAGCCTTTGCCTTTTCCAGCATGGCAATGTGAACCACAGATTTGGGACCCAGCACATTGCCTTCCCCGCGATGGTGTCCAATAAGACCTAATTCATAATCCTGGCTTCTTCAGTTTCATAAACTAGAAATCACACTACCTACCAGGAAGGATTATCCTCAAAATCATCATATTTGTCATTGACTTTCATCATATTTGTCATTGTAATTGGTCCTGATAGCTTCCACCAGCTGAGCCAAAGCTCGTTTGTCTTCCGAGTTAACGTGTGTGAAGGCGACAGTGGTGCAGGTCTTCCTGTGGACTAAACATCCCAGTCTTGCCTTCCACTTGATAATGCAGTCAGGGACCCCCATTTTATGACACAGAGCAGGCCAGAAGACAACCAGCTCGATGGGATCCAAGTCGTTTGCAGTCACCACCAGCTGAGCCTTCTTGTTCTCCACCAAGGTAGTGATGGTCTTAACTCCTGCTCAAAGGACAGGTGGTCTCTTAATGGGGATGTCCCCTTTGCCAGCAGCTTTCTTCTTAGCCTGGGCCAACAGCCCCTGTTTCTTCTCTTGCTTCACCTCTGGTCTGTACCCGTGGGCTAGCTTAAGCAGTTGTGTAGCTGTTTGGCAGTCCAAGGCCTGGGTGAACTGGTTAATCACAGGAGGCACTTTTAGCGGGTTATAGAGGATAGCTCTTTGCCACTGCAAACTGATACAGCCGGGCCATTTGATAAAGGGGGTGAGGTCTCTTTTAGGCTGGATGTCCTGTCCCATGCCTTTGAGGCTGGATGTCCTGTCCAAAGATTCACACCTTTCTTGGCCTCCTGCTTCTTCCCAACAGCAGGGTCTGGAGCCACCTTCCTCCCCTTGGCCTTCTTTCATTCTGGCATCTTGAGCACTGGAAGGATTCATTATTATTATATGTGTTACAGCGATCTGTGATCAGTGATCTTTGATGTTATTATTGTAATTCTTTGAGGGCTGCCACAAACCACATCAATATAAGACTGCAGATTCAATCAGTAAATGTGTGTTCTGACAGTTCCACTGACTGGTCATTCTGCCACATCTGTCCCTCTCTTCAGACCTCACTATTCCCTGAGACACAGTAATATTGAAATTAGCCCAGTTGATAACCCTAAAATGGCTTCTAAGCATTCAAGGGAAAGAATGAGTCACATATCTCTCATTTTAAATCAAGAGCTAAAAATGCTTATGTTTAGTGAGGAAGGCATGTTGGAAGTGAAGACAGGCCAAATGTTAAGCCTCCTGCACCAAATGGTTAGCCAAGTTATTAATGCAAAGAAAAAGTTCTTGAAGGAAATTGAAAGCACTACTCCAGTGAACCTACAAATAGAAAGTGAAACAGTCTTATTGCTTCAAATAAGCCTTATTGCTTATATAGAGAAAGTTTTAATGATCTGGCTAAAAAATCAAACCAGCCATAACACTATCTTAAACCAAAGGCTAATCCAGAGCAAGACCCAAATTCCTTTTTAATTCTATGAAGGCTGAGAGAGGTGAGGAAAAGTTGGAGGCTGGCAGAGGTTGGTTCATGAGGTTTAAGGAAAGAAACCATCTCTATAATGTAAAAGTGCAAGGCAAAGCAGCAAGTGTTGATGTAGAAGCCACAGCAAGTTATCCAGATTTAGCTAAGATAATTGATAAAGCTGGCTACACTAAACAACGGATGATTTTCTTTCTTTCTTTTTTTTTCAGATGGAGTCTCGCTCTGTCGCCCAGGCTGGAATGCAGTGGCGCAATCTCGGCTCACTGCAACCTCCGCCTCCCTGGTTCATGCCATTCTCCTGCCTCAGCCTCCCGAGTAGCTGGGACTACAGGCACCCGCTACCATGCCCGACTAATTTTTTGTATATTTAGTAGAGATGGGGTTTCACCATGTTGGCCAGGATGGTCTCAATCTCTTGACCTCGTGATCCACCCGCCTCAGCCTCCCAAAGTGCTGGGATTACAGGCGTGAGCCACGCACCTGGCCAACAGATTTTCAATGTAGATGAAACAGCTTTCTATTGGAAGAAGATGTCATCTAGCACTTTCATAGCCAGAGAGGAGAAGTCAATCCCTAGCTTCAAGACTTCAAAGGACAGGCTGACTCTCTTGTTAGGGACTAATGCAGCTGGTGGCTTTAAGTTGGAGTCAACATTCATCTATGATTTCAAAAATCCTAGGGCCCTTAAAAATTATACTAAGTTGACTCTGCCTGTGTTCTGTAAATGGGACAAGAAAGTCTGGATGACAGCACAGTGGTTTACAGCATGGTTTACTGAATATTTTAGCCCACTGTTGAGACCTACTAGTCAGAAGAAAGGTTCTTTACACAATATTACTGCTCATTGATAATGCACCTGATCACCCAAAAGCACTGGTGAAGATATACAAGGAGATTAATGTTTTTATGCCTGTTTACACAAGATTCATTCTGAAGCCCTGGATCAAGGAGTAATTTTGACTTTTAAGTCTTATTATTTAAGAAATACATTTTGTAAGGCTATAGCTGCCATAGATAGTAATTTCTCAGATGAATCTAGGCAAAGTAAATTGAAAATCTTCTGGAAAGGATTCACCATTCTAGATGCCATTAAGGATATTCATGACTCATGGGAGGAGGTCAAAATATTAACATTGACAGGACTTTGGATGATTTTCAGGGGTTTAAGGTTTCAGTGGGGGAGGTTACTGCAGATAAGGTAGAAATAGCAAAAGTACTAAAATTTGAAGTGGAGCCTGAAGATGTGACTGAATTGCTGCAATCTCATAATAAAAATTTGATGGATGAAGAGTTGCTTCTTATGGATAAGTAAAGACAGTGAAGATGCTGTGAGTACTGTTGAAAAGACAACAAAGGATTTCTAATATTACATAAACTTAGTTGATAAAGTAGCAGCAGGGTTGAGATAATTGACTTCAACTTTGAAAGAAGTTTTACTGTGGATAAAAAACTATTGAATAGCATTACAAGGTACAGAGAAATCTTTCATGAAAGGAAAAGTCATTGTGGCAAACTTCATTTTTGTCTTATTTTAGGTAATTGCTAAAGCCACCCTAACCTTCCGCAGCCACCAGTGTGATCAGTTGGCAGCCCTCAACATCAAGGCAAGACCCTCCACCAGCAGAAGGATCATAACATACTGAAGGGTCAGAGGATTGTTGACATTTTTTAGCAATAGAGTTTTATTTCTTTTTTTTATTATTATACTTTAAGTTTTAGGGTACATGTGCACAAAGTGCAGGTTTGTTACATATGTATACATGTGCCATGTTGGTGTGCTGCACCCATTAACTCGTCATTTAGCATTAGGTATATCTCCTAATGCTATCCCTCCCCCCTCCCCTGATCACACAATAGTTCCCGGTGTGTGATGTTCCCCTTCCTGTGTCCATGTGTTCTCATTGTTCAATTCCTACCTATGAGTGAGAATATGCGGTGTTTGGTTTTTTGTCCTTGCGATACTTTGCTGAGAATGATGGTTTCCAGTTTCATCCATGTCCCTACAAAGGACATGAACTCATCATTTTTTATGGCTGCATAGTATTCCATGGTGTATATGTGCCACATTTTCTTCATCCAGTCTATCGTTGCTGGACATTTAGGTTGGTTCCAAGTCTTTGCTATTGTGAATAGTGCCGCTATAAACATACGTGTGCATGTGTCTTTATAGCAGCATGATTTATAATCCTTTGGGTATATACCCAGTAATGGGATGGCTGGGTCAAATGGTATTTCTAGTTCTAGATCCCTGAGGAATCACCACACTGACTTCCACAATGGTTAAACTAGTTTACAGTCCCACCAACAGTGTAAAAGTGTTCCTATTTCTCCACATCCTCCCAAGCACCTGTTGTTTCCTGACTTTTTAATGATCGCTATTCTAACTGGTGTGAGATGGTATCTCATTGTGGTTTTGATTTGCATTTCTCTGATGGCCAGTAATGATGAGCATTTTGTCATGTGTCTGTTGGCTGCATAAATGTCTTCTTTTGAGAAGTGTCTGTTCATATCCTTCGCCCACTTTTTGGGGGTTGTTTGTTTTTTTCTTGTAAGTTTGTTGGAGTTCATTGTAGATTCTGGATATTAGCCCTTTGTCAGACGAGTAGGTTGCAAAAATTTTCTCCCATTCTGTAGGTTGCCTGTTCACTCTGATGGTAGTTTCTTTTGCTGTGCAGAAGCTCTTTAGTTTAATTAGATCCCATTTGTCAATTTTGGCTTTTGTTGCCATTGCTTTTGGTGTTTTAGACATGAAGTCCTTGCCCATGCCTATGTCCTGAATGGCATTGCCTAGGTTTTCTTCTAGGGTTTTTATGGTTTTAGGTCTAACATGTAAGTCTTGAATCCATCTTGAATTAATTTTCGTATAAGGTGTAAGGAAGGGATCCAGTTTCAGCTTTCTACTTCTGGCTAGCCAGTTTTCCCAGCACCATTTATTAAATAGGGAATCCTTTCTCCATTGCTTGTTTTTGTCAGGTTTGTCAAAGATCAGATGGTTGTAGATATGTGGCATTATTTCTGAGGGCTCTGTTCTGTTCCATTGGTCTATATCTCTGTTTTGGTACTAGTACCATGCTGTTTTCATTACTGTAGCCTTGTAGTATAGTCTGAAGTCGGGTAGCATGATGCCTCCAGCTTTGTTCTTTTGGCTTAGGATTGACTTGGCGATGCGGGCTCTTTTTGGGTTCCACATGAACTTTAAAGTAGTTTTTTCCAATTCTGTGAAGAAAGTCATTGGTAGCTTGATGGGGATGGCATTGAATCTATAAATTACCTTGGGCAGTATGGCCATTTTCATGATATTGATTTTTCCTACCCATGAGCATGGAATGTTCTTCCATTTGTTTGTATCCTCTTTCATTTCATTGAGCAGTGATTTGTAGTTCTCCTTGAAGAGTTCCTTCACGTCCCTTGTAAGTTGGATTCCTAGGTATTTTATTGTCTTTGAAGTGATTGTGAATGGGAGTTCACTCATGATTTGGCTCTCTGTTTGTCTGTTATTGGTGTATAAGAATGCTTGTGATTTTTGCACATTGATTTTGTATCCTGAGACTTTGCTGAAGTTGCTTATCAGCTTGAGGAGATTTTGGGCTGAGACAATAGGGTTTTCTAGATATACAAGCATGTCATCTGCAAACAGGGACAATTTGACTTCCTCTTTTCCTAATTGAATACTCTTTATTTCCTTCTCCTGCCTGATTGCCCTGGCCAGAACTTCCAACACTATGTTGAATAGGAGTGGTGAGAGAGGGCATCCCTGTCTTGTGCCAGTTTTCAAAGGGAATGCTTCCAGTTTTTGCCCATTCAGTATGATATGGGCTGTGGGTTTGTCATAGATAGCTCTTATTATTTTGAGATACGTCCCATCAATACCTAATTTATTGAGAGTTTTTAGCATGAAGCGTTGTTGAATATTGTCAAAGGCCTTTTCTGCATCTATTGAGATAATTACGTGGTTTTTGTCTCTGATTCTGTTTATATGCTGGATTACATTTATTGATTTGGGTATGTTGAACCAGCCTTGCCCTCCAGGGATGAAGCCCACTTGATCATGGTGGATAAGCTTTTTGATGTGCTGCTGGATTCAGTTTGCTGGTATTTTATTGAGGATTTTTGCATCGATGTTCATCAAGGATATTCGTCTAAAATTCTCTTTTTTGGTTGTGTCTCTGCCAGCTTTGGTATCAGGATGATGCTGGCCTCATAAAATGAGTTAGGGAGGATTCCCTCTTTTTCTATTGATTGGAATAGTTTCAGAAGGAATGGTACCACCTCCTCTTTGTACCTCTGGTAGAATTCGGCTGTGAATCCATCTGGTCCTGGACTTTTTTTGGTTAGTAAGATATTGATTGTTGCCTTAATTTCAGAGCCTGTTATTGGTCTATTCAGAGATTCAACTTCTTCCTGGTTTAGTCTTGGCAGGTTGTATGTGTCGAGGAATTTATCCATTTCTTCTAGATTTTCTAGTTTATTTGCACAGAGGTGTTTATAGTATTCTCTGATGGTAGTTTGTATTTCTGTGGGAATGGTGGTGATATCCCTTTTATCATTTTTTATTGCATCTATTTGATTCTCCTCTCTTTTCTTCTTTATTAGTCTTGCTAGAAGTCTATCAATTTTGTTGATCTTTTCAAAATACCAGCTCCTGGATTCATTAATTTTTTTAACGGTTTTTTGTGTCTCTATTTCCTTCAGTTCTGCTCTGATGTTAGTTATTTCTTGCCTTCTGCTAGCTTTTGAATGTGTTTGCTCTTGCTTTTCTAGTTCTTTTAATTGTGTTGTTAGGGTGTCAATTTTAGATCTTTCCTGCTTTCTCTTGTGGGCTTTTAGTGCTATAAATTTCCCTCTACACACTGCTTTGAATGTGTCCCAGAGATTCTGGTATGTTGTGTCTTTGTTCTCATTGGTTTCAAAGAACATCTTTATTTCTGCCTTCATTTCATTATGTACCCAGTAGTCATTCAGGAGCGGGTTGTTCAGTTTCCATGTAGTTGAGCGGTTTTGAGTGAGTTTCTTAATCCTCAGTTCTAGTTTGATTGCACTGTGGTCTGAGAGACAGTTTGTTATAATTTCTGTTCTTTTACATTTGATGAGGAGTGCTTTACTTCCAACTATGTGGTCAATTTTGGAGTAGGTGTGGTGTAGTGCTGAGAAGAATGTATATTCTGTTGATTTGGGGTGGAGGGTTCTGTAGATGTCTATTAGGTATGCTTGGTGCAGAGCTGAGTTCAATTCCTGGGTATCCTTGTTAACTTTCTGTCTCCTTTATCTGTCTAATGTTGACAGTGGGGTGTTAAAGTCTCCCATTATTATTGTGTGGGAGTCTAAGTCTCTTTGTAGGTCAGTAAGGACTTGCTTTATGAATCTGGGTGCTCCTGTATTGGGTTCATATATATTTAGGATAGTTAGCTCTTCTTGTTGAATTGATCCCTTTACCATTATGTAATGGCCTTCTTTGTCACTTTTGATCTTTGTTGGTTTACAGTCTGTTTTATCAGAAACTAGGATTGCAACCCCTGCCTTTTTTTGTTTTCCATTTGCTTGGTAGATCTTCCTCCATCCCTTTATTTTGAGCCTATGTGTGTCCCTGAACATGAGATGGGTTTCCTGAATACAGCACACTGATGGGTCTTGACTGTTTATCCAATTTGCCAGTCTGTGTCTTTTAATTGGAGCATTTAGCCCATTTACATTTAAGGTTAATATTGTTATGTGTGAATTTGATCCTGTCATTATGATGTTAGCTGGTTATTTTGCTTGTTAGTTGATGCAGTTTCTTAGCATCAGTGGTCTTTACAATTTGGCATGTTTTTGCAGTGGCTGGTACTGGTTGTTCCTTTCCATGTTTAGTACTTCCTTCAGGAGCTCCTGTAAGGCAGGTCTGGTGGTGACAAAATCTCTCAGCATCTGCTTGTTTGTAAAGGATTTGATTTCTCCTTCACTTACGAAGCTTAGTTTGGCTGGATATGAAATTCTGGGTTGAAAATTCTTTTCTTTCAGAATGTTGAATATTGGCCCCCACTCTCTTCTGGCTTGTAGAGTTTCTGCCAAGGGATCTGCTGTTAGTCTGATGGGCTTCCCTTTGTGGGTAACCCGACCTTTCTCTCTGGCTGCCCTTAACATTTTTTCCTTCATTTCAACTTTGGTGAATCTGACAATTATGTGTCTTGGAGTTGCTCTTCTCAAGGAGTATCTTTGTGGCATTATCTGTATTTCCTGAATTTGAATGTTGGCCTGCCTTGCTAGATTGGGGAAGTTCTCCTGGATAATATCCTGCAGAGTGTTTTCCAACTTGGTTCCATTCTCCCTGTCACTTTCAGGTACACCAATCAGACATAGATTTAGTCTTTTCACATAGTCCCATATTTCTTGGAGGCTTTGTTCATTTCTTTTTATTCTTTTTTCTCTAAACTTCTCTTCTTGCTTCATTTCATTCATTTCTTCTTCCATCACTGATACTCTTTCTTCCAGTTGATCGCATCGGCTACTGAGGCTTCTGCATTTGTCACGTAGCTCTCGTGCCTTGGTTTTCAGCTCCATCAGGTCCTTTAAGCACTTCTCTGCATTGGTTATTCTAGTTATCCATTTGTCTAATGTTTTTTCAAAGCTTTTAACTTCTTTGCCATTGGTTCGAATTTCCTCCGGTAGCTCGGAGTAGTTTGATCGTCTGAAGCCTTCTTCTCTCAGCTCGTCGAAGTCATTCTCCGTCTAGCTTTGTTTTGTTGCTGGTGAGGAGCTGCGTTCCTTTGGAGGAGGAGAGGCGCTCTGATTTTTAGAGTTTCCAATTTTTTTACTCTGTTTTTTTCCCATCTTTGTGGTTTTATCTACCTTTGGTCTTTGATGATGGCAACGTACAGATGGGTTTTGGTGTGGATGTCCTTTCTGTTTTTTAATTTTCCTTCTAACACACAGGACCCTCAGCTGCAGATCTGTTGGAATTTGCTAGATGTCCACTCCAGACCCTGTCTGCCTGGGTTTCAGCAGTGGTGGCTGCAGAACAGCAGATATTGGTGAACCGCAAATGCTTCTGCCTGATCGTTCCTCTGGAAGTTTTGTCTTAGAGGAGTACCTGGCCGTGTGAGGTGTCAGTCCGCCTCTACTGGGGGGTGCCTCCCAGTTAGGCTACTCGGGAGTCAGGGACCCACTTGAGGAGGCAGTCTGCCCATTCTCAGATCTCAAGCTGCGTGCTGGGAGAACCAGTACTCTCTTCAAAGCTGTCAGAGAGGGACATTTAAGTCTGCAGAGGTTACTGCTGTCTTTTTGTTTGTCTGTGCCCTGCCCCCAGAGGTGGAGTCTACAGAGGTAGGCAGGCCTCCTTGGGCTGTTGTGGGCTCCACCCAGTTCGAGCTTCCAGGCCGCTTTGTTTACCTAGTCAAACAACTAACTCGGCAATGGCGGGCGCCCCTCCCCCAGCCTCGCTGCCGCCTTGCAGTTTGATCTCAGACTGCTGTGCTAGCAATGAGAGAGACTCCATGGGCGTAGGACCCTCCAAGCCATGTGCGGGATATAATCTCCTGGTGTGCCATTTTTTAAGCCTGTTGGAAAAGCACAGTATTAGGGTGGGAGTGACCCGATTTTCCAGGTGCCGTCTGTCACCCCTTTCTTTGACTAGGAAAGGAAATTCCCTGACCCCTTGCACTTTCCAGGTGGGGTGATGCCTCACCCTGCTTTGGCTTGCACACAGTGCGCTGCACCACTGTCCTGCACCTACTGTCTGGCACTCCCCAGTGAGATGAACCCGGTACCTTAGCTGGAAATGCAGAAATCACCCATCTTCTGCTTCGCTCATGCTGGGAGCTGTAGACCAGAGCTGTTCCTATTCGGCCACCTTGGCTCCTCCCCCTTATTTCTTTCTTTATTTGTTTGTTATTGTTTTTGCTTTACAGATGAAGTCTTACTATGTTGCCCAGGTTGGTGCAGTGGCTATTCACAGGTGCAATCATAGCACATTGCATACTTGAACTCCTTGACTTCAAGCAATTTTCTGGAGCAACTGGGATTACAGGTATGTATCACTATGCCCAGCAATAAAATATTTTAAAATTAAGTTATGTATATTTTTTTAGACATAATGCTATTACACATTTGATAGGCAATAGTATAGTGTAAAAATCATTTTTTTAAGAGACTAACTCACTTTGTTGACCTCAAACTATTAGACTCAAGTGATCCTCCCGCCTCATCCTCTCAAGTAGGAGTGGGAGTACAGACACATGCCACCGCACCCAGATAAACATAAATTTTATTTATTTATTTATTTATTTATTTATTTACTGTCACCCAGGTTGGAGTGGTGTGATCATGGCTCACTGCAGTCTCAAACTCCCAGGCTCAAGCAGTTCTCCCATTTCAGCGCCCCCTGCAGCCATCTCTCTGTAGGTGGGACTGCAGGTGTGTGTCACCATGCCCTGGTTATTTTTATTTTTATTTTTTAGAGATGAGTTTTTGCCATGTTGCCCAGGGTGGTCTCAAACTCCTGAGCTCAAGTAATCCACCCACCTCAGCCTCCCAAAGTGCTGAGATTATAGGCGTGAGCCACTGAACCCAGCCAAATATAGCTTTTTTTTTTCTGTGACGGAGTCTCACTCTTGTTGCCTAGGCTGGAGTGCAATGGCGCGATGTCGGCTCACTGCAACCTCCACCTCCCGGGTTCAAGTGATTCTCCTGCCTCAGCCTCCTGAGTAGCTGGGATTACAGGCACCTGCCACCATGCCCGGCTAATTTTTTGTATTTTTTAGTAGAGACAGGGTTTCACCATGTTGGCCAGGCTGGTCTCAAACTCCTGGCCTCAAGTGGTCCACCGACCTCGGCTTCCCAAAGTTCTGGGATTACAAGTGTGAGCCACCATGCCCAGCCCAAATATAACATTTATATTCATTGGAAAACCACACTATTTGTGTGACTTACTTTATTACAATATTCACCTTATTATAGTGCTCTGGAACCTAACCCACAATATCTGTGACGTATTCCTGTACCTTGCATGAGTTTTGACAAATGTCCGATTACATGTATCCACATTACAGTGTGTGAAAGGAAAACAAATCTTGGGGTCTGAAAATGACTAAGCTAAAGGGAAAAGTCAAGCTGGGAACTGCTTAGAGCCAACCTGCCTCCCATTCTACTCAAAGTCACCCCTCTGCTCACTGAGATAAATGCATATCTGATCTCCTCCTTTGGAGAGGCTAATCAGAAACTCAAAAGAATGTAACGTTTTGTCTCTTATCTACCTATGACCTGGAAGTCCCCCCCGGCTTTGAGTTGTCCTGCCTTTGCTTCAAGTTGTCCTGCCTTTCTCAGACAAGTTCATCTTACATATGTTGATTTACGTCTCATGTCTCCCTAAAATGTATAAAACCAGACTGTGCTCTGACCACCTTGGGTACATGTCCTCAGGACCTCCTGAGTCTGGTGTCAAAGGTGCACGTCCTCAACCTTGGCAAAATAAACTTTCTAAATTAACTGAGACTTGTCTCAGATATTCGGGGTTCACAGTGTCATATGGTACAGTTCTACTGCCTTAAAAATCCCTTTTACTGCATCTACTTATCCTTCCCTTCTTTTCCCTGAACCCCTGTTAACTACTCATCTTTTTAAACTGTCTATAGTTTTGCCTTTTCCAGAAAGCTAGAATTTTAGAAGAAAAATATTTGTAAATCACATCTTTGTTGAGAAACCCATGTAGCCAGCTACTACAAACAAACAAAAAACACTGAAATATAGGAAATTTGCTTCATAAATAGTAAAAGGGAGATGTCACTTAATATCAATATCATCACAAAGAGCAGTAAGTGAAACTACTGATGTGGAGAGTATTGAATGAAATTACTTATGTGCAGAAAACAAAGCAAATATTGACATCTGTGTGGCACATATATGATAGAGAAAGCCTTGACAATTTTATTTTGCTATCACAGAAATCTATGCCATTAGTGGAGAGATTTCCATTTTGTTATGGAAGGTGCCTTTCAATATCTTCCTGATGCAAGAGGTTTACCAGTGGAATAGAATAGGTTTCCCAGGGCAGAACACACATAGTTTCTTATTGGAAATCACAGCCACACTCCCAGTTTTTCCCATTCTCAATGCCTTGTTGGAATGGAAATGGAAATGAAAATAAGAGGACAGAAAAAAAGACAATTGAAAGTGGCCAATCAGATTTCCAAAGGAACCAAATAGGGGTTTAGAAATGTAGATATAATAATTAATATTAAAAACCCAGTGTATGGATTAAATAGTAAATTATACATAGCTGAGGAAAGAGGGATGGACCTAGAAAATACATCTAGAAGAATAACATACAGTATAGCACAAAAAAGACAAAGACATGAAATACAGTTAAAGAGATCTTAAGAGATGTGAAGGATAGAGTGAGAAGACCTTGTGTATGTTTCATTCAAGGGTCCAGAAAGTTTAGGGAGAATGAGAAAGTTGTGGATTGATTTTTGTTTATCTTACTTATGATCTTTTGGCTTCCTTAATCTAAGCATTGTATGTCTTGCAATAATTCATGAAAATTATCATCCATTATCTTTTCAAATATTGCCTCTGTTGGTAGTAATTTTCTCCAGTGTTTATTTGTTGGAAATATTTTCTTCTTTTTTCTTTTCCCTTTCCCTTGAAAGACAGTTTCACTGAAATATAAAATTCAACATTTGACGGTTGATACGGTTTGGCTGTGTCTCCACCCAAATCTCACATTGAGCTGTGGTTCCCATAATCCCCACATGTCATGGGAGGTAATTGAATTATGGAGACAGGTTTTTTCCATACTGTTCTTGTGATAGTGAATAAGTCTCATGAGATCTGATGGATTTATAAAGGGCAGTTCCCTGCACACACTCTCTTGCCTGCCACCATGTAAGACATGTCTTTGCTCCTCCTTCACCTTCCACCATGATTGTGAGGCCTCCCCAGCTATGTGGAACTGCGAGTCCATTAAAGCTTTTTTTTTGTAAATTACCCAGTCTCAGGTATTTCTTCATAGCAGTATGAAAATGGATTAATATAGCAGTTATTTCTTCTCAGCATTTTGTAGGTGTCATTCCAGTATCTTGTTTCCATTATTGCTCTCTGGAGCAGCTGCTAGTCTTAAGTGTCACTCATTTGTAGGTGAACTGGACTTTCTTTCCTCTACTTTCAATATCATATTTTCGTGATGATATTACAAAAGAAACTCACTAAAGAAACAGGGGAGGAAAGTGATCTCAGAAATTTCTGTGTTGTGAGAGGAATGGTGAGCAAAGAAAAAAGTAAACATAATTAAAGCAAAAAAAAAAAAAATCAAATGTCTAATTGTTGGAATTTCAAAAGCCAGGATAGAATTAAATTCTTCTACCACATTCTCTAATTATAATGCAATTAAGTAGAAAATAATAACAAAAATATAATTAAAATAATTTCAAATATTTAGAAATTTAAAAACACTTCTAATAGAAATTTGAAAACATTATACTTAGAATAATAATACAAGTAATATAAATACTGTATATTATAGTATAATTCTGATATATTATCAGAATTTATACAGGTAAATTTATTTTAAATTTTAATGTTTATTATAGTGAAGGAAAGTTGAAAATTAATGACACATGCAGCTAACAAATTAGAAAAAGAACAACACAATAAACTCAAAGAAGTAACAGAAAAGATATGATAAATGTAAGACAAGACATAAATGAAAATAGAAGAGAAAATGGAAAATTTTAACAAAGACAAAATTGGAATGAGTAACATATTTTTTTTTTTTTAGAGATAGAGTTTCACTCTGTCACCCAGGCTGGAGTATAGGGGTGCAATCTTGGTTCCCTGAAACCTCTGCCCCCTGGGTTCTAGCGATTCTCGTGCCTCAGCCTCCTGAGTACCTGGGACTACAGGCGTGTGACACCATGCCCTGCTAATTTTTTGTATTTTTAGTAGAGATGTAGTTTCACCATGTTGGCCAAGCTGGTCTCAAACTCCTGACCTCAGGTGATCCACCCACCTCAGTCTCCCAAAGTGCTGGGATTACAGGTGTGAGCCACCGCGCCTGGCTTGATTAATATTATTGATAACTTCTAATAGAGAAGATAAAGGACACAACTTAAAAAATTGGGAATTAATAAATTAACAAAAAATATACAGCAGATATTTCTAAAATATTGTAAATAACTTTATGGTGTGAAATTTGAAATACTGAAATATAGGTAAGACAGATTAATCTTTAGAAAAATACAAGTTACCATTCTAAAATAAACTCTATAAAATTACAAGGCAAGAAATAGAACATTTGTATGGCAATGTAGCAATAAAAAAAAAATCAAATCACTAGATTGAAACAGTCCCATAAAGAAAACTTTAGGCCCAAACAGTTTTATGAGTTCTACTGATCATTTAAGGAACATACAATTTTGATTTACAAATACATATTTTCGGATAGTATAAAAAGGAGGAACACTCCCCAACTTCTTTAATAAAATAGTTATGAGCTTGATAGCAAATTCAGATGAGAATACCAAAAAAAAAAAAAAAAGAGAGAGAGAATTGATAGGCTGAATCTCCCTTCTGACTAAAGAATAATTCCTAAATGAGATAGCAAACTAAGCCCTACGATGTATAATTAAGGGTAATATATCAAGTTAAAGTTGGTTTATACAAGAATAGCTTTGACTAGAATATCTGTAGGAAAACTTACTATTATCATGATAGATGCAGAAAAAGCATTTTATTACAATTAGCAAACATTCTTGAGAAACGCTTTCCATGAAATAGGAAGAAACTTCCCTTAATTTTGTTAAAGGTATCTTCGCACAAACAAACACAAAATACAGCAAGTATCATACTCAACAGTGATACACTGGAAGCATTCCCTTTAAAGTTAGAAATAAGAAAGGATGCCCATGAATGGCATTTCTTTTCAACATTGTTCTGAAGGTCCTAGCCACTGTAATCAGGACATAAAAAGAAAGAAAACCTAGCAAAATTGGAAAGAAAAAAATAAAACTCTCATTACTTGGAGCTGATTGTTGATATTGAAAACATAAGGTAATCTTTAGACAAAGTATTAATATTAACAAGGCTGTCAGCTAGAAATAATTGTTAAATAGTCAATTGCCTCTCTACATGCTGGCAACAAGTATGATAAAACAGACAAAAATCTTTACTAAGGAGAAAGAAATATATGACCTCAAAGGAAGACTCACATTTATAGACATTTATCTGTGACAGAGATGGTCCAGGAGCTAAGTGAAGAACAGAGGAACTTTACCATAAATGGCTCTAGAAAAACTGTGAATGAGAAGAAAACGTTAAAAAAACCCATGAAATTGGACCCCTATTTCACATCATACTAAAAAATAATAACAAATCCAGGTGGATTAGATAACTAAATATAAAAGGCAAAATTATGAACATTTTAGGTGATAAGAGATAGTATTCATGATATCAAATAGAGAAGATTTTTAAAATAAGACTAAGAAGTAGTAATCAGAAAGGAAAAGGTTGATAAATTAAGCTACATTACAATTATGAACTTCTGTTCATCAAAACACACCATCAGTTTATCTAGCTTTATCTCAAAATAAAATGTTTAAAGTTTTGCTGAGTTAAATAAAAAAAAAAACCCACAATATCAAGAGTGAAGATAAGCAAAACCTTGGAGAAAGTTATTTGTACACATAAAACTGACAATAGATTAGAATGCAGAAAACATGTTCTTACAAATTACCTAGAAAAAGCCGGAAAATTATACATAGAAAAATGATCAAAAGATATGAGTAAGTCTTATATAACATGAATCTGGAAACATCTTAAATATTAATTGAGAGTCAAATAAATAAATTACAGTACACTAGGATGTTGTAGAGAAATTTTTAAAAATAAACTACAGCCTTAGGTATGAGTAAAACTTTCAAAAAATGATGTTAATTTTAAAAATATAATGTTATGGTAAAATACACCCAGAGTTTTGTCAGTGAATATTTTTCTTATTTTGTTGTTTTTGAATTTTCTCATGGACTTTATATTGTATAGAAGTTAATATGTTTATGTACAGCCAGGCGCGGTGGCTCAGGCCTGTAATCCCAGCACTTTGGGAGACTGAGGCAGGAGAATCACTTGAACCCGGGAGGTGGAGGTTGCAGTGAACCGAGATCGCACCACTGCACTCCAGCCTGGGTGACAGTGCAAGACTCTATCTCAAGGGAAAAAAAAAAAAATGATGTTTATGTACTTGAATTTACCATTCTTTTGTCTTTATTTTCTCTAAGCATTTTTCCTTTATACTTCAAATTGTTGAATCTGGAATTGTTGGCTGTTCTTTTCATTGATTTAATTATAAAACCACTGCACATGATTCTTTGAAAATTTAATTGTGTGTATTGCCTAGAATAGTGTCATGTACATAAGGCACTGAGTAAGTATTACTAAAAAAAAAAAAACTCTTTCAAATTCATATTCCAGTTTTACTCTTTTCCATTTGAGGTTGTCTGAATATTTTTTTAACTCAAAACTTAAAATCAAATTTGCTTTGGCGCATCTCACTAGTGAATAAAGCTAATGCAGAATGAAGTTTTAATCACAACAAATTTTATATAATTCTTAACATTTCATTAGCAGGTTTCAAGCATTAAAAATAAGTCCCTGGTAGAGTAGTAGTTGCTTCCTGAAAAGTTGAGAGATAACAACAGACATTTGAACCTTTGTATTTGAAAAAAACTCTTTTGTTCAGTCCAGAAGCTCTAAAGTTTCCAGGTACCAATCAAAAGGGGTGTTTTCCATCCCTGAATGACAGCTGAATACATGTCATTCACAACAAAAGGAGAGTTTCAATGTGTTCAGGCAGGAGATTAAACAGCCTTTTCAGAAATGAACAGAAGTGCCTACAATTTGGAGGTCAATTAATTTAATCTGTTACCAGAAGTCTGCTTTCTTTCTTGTTTTCTATTTTAAGCCATATTCCACAACAATTTTGACAAGAATAACTAAAGTCAGCCATTTTTTTCTGTACCCTTGACTGTATGTCTTAATTCCTATAATTACTCTTATAAAAATCCATGGTTTGCTATTCTCAGCTGCATAAGAAGTTAGTGATATTATTTCTTAGAGTTTTGCTGTTAAAATTAAGTGAATACACTAAATGCATGTAGTTATAAAAAATATCTTCCAGGCAATAAGACTTACAAGTAAAACTATAAGGGAACTGTGCATAAGATATAACTAAAAACTAAGTAATGAAAGACATTTTCCAAATTGTTATAGGGAATCAGTGTAGAACGGAATGAGGAAGTGGAACTATGATTTCTAAGCCGATGCTCTACAAAATATTTTTCAATTCAAGAGGACTTCATGGAAAGAATCGGACTCAGTCTATGTAAAGGGATAGTTGACATTTGCGCACATAGATACAAGTGAAAACTTCAACCTGGAGTATAACCAAAAAGTACAAAGTGTGATGCTTTATGTGTGATTGAAGGAGGAAGAGGAATGCTGGCTGGGGACTATAAAAAAATGTTATTAGGCTGGGCGCAGTGACTCACGCCTGTAATCCCAGCACTTTGGAAGGCCGAGGCGGGCGGATTCCGAGGTCAGGAGATCGAGACCATCCTGGCCAACATGGTAAAACCCTGTCTCTACTGAAAATACAAGAATTAGCTGGGTGTGATGGTGCGTGCCTGTAATCCCAGCTACTCAGGAGGCGGAGGCAGAAGAATCTCTTGAAACTGGGAGGTAGAGGTTGCATTGAGCCGAGATCACGCCATTGCACTCCAGCCTGGGCGACAGGGCGAGACTTCATCTCAAAAAAAAAAAAAAAATGTTACTGATGAATCATGGGTGCTTGTTAGACAGAACAGGAGAGGCTGACAGGAAACAATAGTTACCCAAAGCCTTGAGGTCAAAACCAATATTAGAATCTGAACTGTCTGACCCAATTGGATGATATCTGGGGAGACAAATCTGATTATGTCATACGCAAGCCTAAACTTCTTTTATAATTCATCACTATCTTAAGATAAATTACAAACCCCTTAACAAAGTCCTGTAGGGCCCTCTATGTTACGGACACAAGTTTCCTTTCCATATATATTCATCTTCTAATTTTAAGAAAACCTACACTGCAGCCATTCCAAACTTACCCAATGACTTTTCCATGCTATGTTCTTTTATTCCTTCATATCTGTCTTGCATAGTTTGTTCTGCCTTTTTCTCCTTCTCAGCTAACCACCTTGCAAACTTCTATTTATCAAATCCAACTTCAATGACCCCACTTAGGAAGTTTAAGCTATTCGGCTAGGAGCGGCATTTCCTCTTCCATGATTTTGTGACATTGTTCATTCAGATAGTAATTACTTATTTATGGATTCCCTTCCCTCTCTACTTGGAGCTACTCAAACTCAAAGATCATATCTAATTCACGTTTATATTTGTGTTTGGTTTCAAGTCATATGGTAGAAAGATCTCTGTATTTACAGTCATAATACTTCACTTTAAAAACTAAGGATCTGAGAAATTGGATTAATCCATGAGAAGCTGTATTTATCATTTGGATTCTCCAGAAGTAAATCTCAAAGGCAAGCCTTCATGTCCTCTGCTAGTCTAGTGGTACATGCCCTCCTTATTATAAAAATCTAATTTGATTTGATGCTATCAGTAAAATTTGATAGTGATGTAATTTATGATTTATTCTTAAGACTCTCTATTGATCTTCAGCTTTATAAAAGTTATTATTTCTTCCAATACTGTAATGTGTAAATTATTTGAGAATATTTAATTATGCTATAAAAGACAAGAGAACAAGTGGTATGGGTGAAACTCATGAAAAGCATAGAGTATACACAGTAATTAAACTATGAGCTTATGATTTAGAGGTGAAGCTCACAGAATGTGTTAAGGATAGATAATGAGTAAACAAGTAGCATGTAAAGACAGGAAAAATCATAACATGAAAATATCAAGAGTAAATTAATAATCTCTAAGAACTGCCAAAGATAGTTAATAAAAATATGGTGGGAAAATGTTACTTAAAGATAGAAAGACATGTAAAGACCAATTCATAATCATGATATAGCTGGGCCATGAGAACATATGATCCTATTCTGGTCCCACATGCTCTTTTTTTTTTTATTTTATTTTGCGACGGAGTCTCAGTCTGTCACTCAGGCTGGAGTGCAGTGGCGCGATCTCAGCTCACTGCAATCTCCACCTCCCTGGTTCAAGTGATTTTCCTGCCTCAGCCTCCCGAGTAGCTGGGATTACAGGTGCGCACCACCACGCCTGGCTAATTTTTGTATTTTTAGTAGAGACAGGGTTTCACCATGTTGGCCAGGATGGTCTCGATCTCCTGACCTTGTGATCCGCCTGCCTCGGCCTCCCAAAGTGCTGGGATTACAGGCGTGAGCCACCGCGCCCAGCCCCACATGCTCTTAACCCAAGAAATACAAATAAAACCCAGAGTGGCTCAGCAGGCTAATAGGTCTGGTGTACTTGCCCCTGCATTTTCTAATAGAGCAAGTGTGTATTGGCCCTGGACATCTCCCACCGGCGGGCTGCTTACTCAAGTCTGAACTATGATTCTCATAGTCACGTCAAAAGTTGGGAAACTTGATGCAGCAAAGAGAGAGGCCGGACATATGAACTCTGCATAAGGGATTCAGGTAGTGTGGTACCCCCGCTTATAACCTGTTCTAAGTGTGTTAACCCACTCCATCTCTTTTCCCGGGTTTCGTCACACTGTATGATTTAATGAACTGTAATTTGAGCATCTTTATTCTGCCTGTGAACATTTCTGTTCTATGACCTCTGGGCTATATTGCCTGATAGTATACTTGGAGGATACCATTGAACCAAAGTAATTCTCTATGTGACAAGTAGAACAATAGGCTCTATTGAACCATTTGGATTCATATAGCTCAGGTGAAATGACTAAATGAAAGAATAAATGACACAAACGAAGAAGATAACCTTTTCAATCAAGAACAAAAATTTATGCTAGCTAAATAATCATAAAACTTTTTTAAAAATTCATCATAATTAAGGAAATAATTAACCAATTTAAAACTAAGAGCTACAGGCCCCACTGCAAACATTCAAGAGGGGTGATAGAATGGGATTGGTGAAATTCTAATCTGGGAGGCAGAATATGAACTCCAACCTGGCTTCTGTCGATTCCTAGATGGGTCACTTAATCGGATTTCTTAACTTTACTGAGCCTCTGTTTCCTCATTTGAAAAATGGGGGCAAAAAACCTGTGAGGGTATTTTATAGATATAATTAAGATTTTTATTCAGTTGGCTTTAAGTAAAAAAAGATTACCATTGATAATATGTGTGGGCTTCATCCAATCCATTGAAGGCCTTAAGAGCAAAAACCAAGATTTCCCTGTGAAGAAGGAATTCTGCTTTAAGACACAGAAATTCTGCCTGGGTTTCCAGCCTGCAGGCCTACCCTACAAACTTCAGACTTGCAAGCCTCAACAATTGCATGAGCCAATTTTCTCTCTCTCTCTCTCTCTCTCTCTCTATCTATCTATCTATCTATATATATATATATATTCCATATTATATATATATTCCATTATATATATGTATACACACACACACACACACACACACACACACACACACACACATATATATATATATATATATATATATATATCCGCTATTGTTTCTCTCTGGAGAACCCTGAATAATACACCTTCCTGCCTCTATTTCAAATTACTATGAAAATTATTTGAAAACTGAGAGAATGCCATGCCAACTTAAGCTGTATCATCCCAAAAGTATCTCAAGTATTTAATTTGGATTGATGAATGTAAATGTATCTATTACATAATTTTATAAAATCCTTCTTATAAAAGGACTCGGTAAATAATACATTGCATAGAAATGCCAGTTTTCAAAAGGGACAATAGTGAGGAAAATTTGAATGATATTTATGAACAGTTGCTTTTAATTACTTTATGAATCCTAATTTTGCAATAAAGGTGAAAGAGAATAGTGCCTACCTCTATTTCTCTTTATCATTTAATATAATTAGAATACATTGCTTATTTTGATTTTAGCAAAATGCTTTCGTTGTCAACCCTTTCAGTAAAACTGAAATTGTATAATATTCATTTAATCTAAAGATACACAGAACCTTCCCCTTCATTAACATAATCCATCTTTTAGTCTTTCATCTTTATTTCACTATAAAACCTGCCATTTTCTGGTTCAACATACAAAAATCAATAAACGTAATCCAGCATATAAACACAACCAAAGACAAAAACCACATGATTATCTCAACAGATGCAGAAAAGGCCTTTGACAAAATTCAACAACGCTTCATGCTAAAAACTCTCAATAAATTAGGTATTGATGGGACGTATCTCAAAATAATAAGAGCTATCTATGACAAACCCACAGCCAGTATCATACTGAATGGACAAAAACTGGAAGCATTCCCTTTGAAAACTGGCACAAGACAGGGATGCCCTCTCTCTCCACTCCTATTAAACATAGTGTTGGAAGTTCTGGCCAGGGCAATCAGGCAGAAGGAAATAAAAGGTATTCAATTAGGAAAAGAGGAAGTCAAATTGTCCCTGTTTGCAGATGACATGATTGTATATCTAGAAAACCCCATTGTCTCAGCCCAAAATCTCCTTAAGCTGATGAGCAACTTCAGCAAAGTCTCAGGATACAAAATCAATGTGCAAAAATCACAAGCATTCTTATACATCAATAACAGACAAACAGAGAGCCAAATCATGAGTGAACTCCCATTCACAATTGCTTCAAAGACAATAAAATACCTAGGAATCCAACTTACAAGGGACGTGAAGGAACTCTTCAAGAACTACAAACCACTGCTCAATGAAATGAAAGAGGATACAAACAAATGGAAGAACATTCCATGCTCATGGGTAGGAAAAATCAATATCATGAAAATGGCCATACTGCCCAAGGTAATTTATAGATTCAATGCCATCCCCATCAAGCTACCAATGACTTTCTTCACAGAATTGGAGAAAACTACTTTAAAGTTCATGTGGAACCCAAAAAGAGCCCGCATCGCCAAGTCAATCCTAAGCCAAAAGAACAAAGCTGGAGGCATCATGCTACCTGACTTCAGACTATACTACAAGGCTACAGTAATGAAAACAGCATGGTACTAGTACCAATACAGAGATATAGATCAATGGAACAGAACAGAGCCCTCAGAAATAATGCCGCATATCTACAACTATCTGATGTTTGACAAACCTGAGAAAAACAAGCAATGGAGAAAGGATTCCCTATTTAATAAATGGTGCTGGGAAAACTGGCTAGCCATATGTAGAAAGCTGAAACTGGATCCCTTCCTTACACCTTATACAAAAATTAATTCAAGATGGATTAAAGACTTAAACGTTAGACCTAAAACCATAAAAACCCTAGAAGAAAACCTAGGCAATACCATTCAGGACATGGGCATGGGCAAGGACTTCATGTCTAAAACACCAAAAGCAATGGCAACAAAAGCCAAAATTGACAAATGGGATCTAATTAAACTAAAGAGCTTCTGCACAGCAAAAGAAACTACCATCAGAGTGAACAGGCAACCTACAGAATGGGAGAAAATTTTTGCAACCTACTCATCTGACAAAGGGCTAATATCCAGAATCTACAATGAACTCCAACAAATTTACAAGAAAAAAACAAACAACCCCATCAAAAAGTGGGCAAAGGATATGAACAGACACTTCTCAAAATAAGACATTTATGTAGCCAACAGACACATGAAAAAATGCTCATCATCACTGGCCATCAGAGAAATGCAAGTGAAAACCACAATGAGATACCATCTCATGCCAGTTAGAATGGCAATTATTAAAAAGTCAGGAAACAACAGATGCTGGAGAGGATGTGGAGAAATAGGAACACTTTTACACTGCTGGTGGGACTGTAAACTAGTTCAACCATTGTGGAAGTCAGTATGGCGATTCCTCAGGGATCTAGAACTAGAAATACCATTTGACCCAGCAATCCCATTACTGGATATATACCCATATGATTATAAATCGTGCTGCTATAAAGACACATGCACACGTATGTTTATTGCGGCACTATTCACAATAGCAAACACTTGGAACCAACCCAAATGTCCAACAATGATAGACTGGATTAAGAAAATGTGGCACATATCCACCGTGGAATACTATGCAGCCATAAAAATGATGAGTTCATGTCCTTTGTAGGGACATGGATGAAGCTGGAAACCATCATTCTCAGCAAACTATAGCAAGGACAAAAAACCAAACACTGCATGTTCTCACTCATAGGTGGGAATTGAACAATGAGAACACATGGACACAGGAAGGGGAACATCATACACCGAGGCCTGTTGTGGGTTGGGGGGAGTGGGGAGGGATAGCATTAGGAGATATACCTAATGCTAAATGATGAGTTAATGGGTGCAGCACACCAACATGGTACATGTATACGTATGTAACAAACCTGCATGTTGTGCACATGTACCCTAAAACTTAAAGTATAATAATAATAAAATTTTAAAAAAAAACCTGCCATTTTGGTTAGTCCAGCCTAGACAAGCTGTGATTGCTCCATCTCAGTGAGTACATCCTCACATAAAAGCTCTACTATGGATTCTACTATTTGTTCTACTGAGTTCACAATAAGCAAATTACTCAAATCACCTGTACCCTCAGTTAGCGATCTAGGTGATCAGCCTTTCAGGATAGTTAACCAAGCAAACTACTGTTGCAACATGCCTCCCCGATCATCACTCCTCTACTTTCCACAAGTCTCATATCAGAATTAGTCTTATTACTTTAGAGACATAGCTCAGTTTGACTTACTACAATCCTTATTACAAGCAATCCTTATTTATAACACTAGGCTCAATGGCTTCAGCTTTACCCCCAAAATTAAACTTACATTCAAAGGGTGAAGTTTTGATGAATCGTAAACGTTTTAAAATGTAATGCCAATTTTGAAGGCTATTATCAAAACAGCTTTTTGAAAATTATTTGTAGTGGTGACCTCAATAGATTAACTAATTGAGCCTGATGATATACAGTAATCATGTGAAAGAGAATAATGTATATTTGAATGTTTATGTTTTGATTGGGTTGTTGAAGAAAAATCAGCCTTATATCCACATCCATTATTCATTGATTTTGATTTAACTATAAGATCCATAATCATTTTTCTAGGCTTTGTACCCTCAGTACCTAGCATAGTACTTGGTATATGAACTGTGTTTATGATCTACAGATAGCTATTGCAAGGATAAATATGCCCCATGTTTTTCTAATTTATTGGGGGTGGTGAAGTTAGGAAATATACAATATATTTGGCCTGTGAACCATAAATGATGATCACCTGATCTAGTTTTCTAAACTAAAAATTAACTGCCCAAATCCTTAAAAGGGAAAAAACTGGCTTATGACTTCAAAGAGAAAAAATCAAAGTTTGAGCAAAAGTCAAGCAAGGACACTTATGTGTCTCTTTGATCTGTTGCTCTTTCATATACCTCTTGGTTTTCAAAACAATACAGGTAAGAAAAAGAGATAATCGGGAAGAAACAGAGGGAGTGCCAGAGAAGTGAGAAGCTTATTTACTTCTGTTTACCCTATTATTACATTGAGAGAATATTCCTGTTGTTTGTGTAGCAAAGCAATTTCCCCCACCCACATAGAAAACCTTGGTGATTCTTTAACCATGGCTAAGTGCCAACCTTTCCACATGACTTGGAAGAAGCTTCAAGATGGTTTCCCTAAAGAAACTCATTGTGTAAATCCAGATGATAAGGGTAGTGAGATTGTTGGGACTTCTCTCTTCCTTGATGAAGTTCCTTCATAAGCTTATATAACTTTATCTGCTCGATTGCATGTTTTACACAGAACAGATCCTGCCATAGTAAGTGTCATAAATGGGGGTAGATAGTAATATTTTTCATTCTAAATATATTGGAATGTTGATTTTTCCAAATTCCTCATGCAGCATGATAATAGAACTTTAAAACCTCACATTGCAGCCCACTTTGGCAACTCTTCTCAGAGCTGTCAGGCCAGTACTCCACTGATAGAGTGATTTCACCAAACAAGGTGGGGCCTTTTAAAACATTACATCATCTCTACACACTGAGCCAAGGAAAGATCTTCTCATATGGTACCTCCAGAGTAGCTTGTCCAGGGAACATTTCAATGACTCAAAGCCATAATGATTCTACCCTTGCTTGAGAAAATATTTTGTGAGCTATTCATCTTGCTCTTAGGCAATATAGACATATTGAATTTTGAGCTGCACAAGACACTTGAGATCATTAAGTTCAACCCCTTTGTTTTTGCAACTAATCCAAGATGTAGTTGGTGAAAGAACTGGAACTAAAACCCAGGTATCCTGCTCCTTCTACAACCTAACACTGATTGTTAATTATTTAACGTTAAAAAATGACTTTTATTTAAGAACACTTTCCTCCTCCATCTGTAATATAATAAAGGATGTGCTTTCCAAACAATTGCTCTCATGCCAGAAAGTTATTCAGTTCCATATTTCTTTTTTGATATTATAATATTTATCCATTTTTTTTAAATATGTAAAAAAAGTTTTCAGAATTTCTTCTAGGAAAATTGTCATTTAGTAAAAATTTATTGCACTTAAGTTTTTAAAAATACTACAACAAAGTGGAATTAATTTCACTCAATGAAATGTCAGTTACTCATTTTGGGACTATAGCTTAAGACCCCTACTGTAAAGTAAGACATAGCATAAAACATACGGACACTAAGAAATACCTGTATGTTTTTAAATCATCACTGGTAACTTTTTTATTGTACAGTAAACTAACAACCATCTTCTTCCAGTGACTGTGGTAAATATAATTTTGTTCCTCATAAGCAGTTTGTGCAACATTAGCCATCAAATGAGTTCCATCTTATTTCTTAGGATTGTTCATATAAAGTCCAGTATTTTCCCCGAAATGACTCTCTGTCTTTTGGAATTTTCTAGGGCTCTCCACTTATGAACAGCTTCTTATTAGTTCATCCTAAGAGAAAAGCAAAATCTCACTGGATAAAGCTTCCAGGGAATTAATTATCTTCTTTGTGCATAGCCACTATCAGGCAAGTCCTCCTGTTGGAATAGTACTGAAACTCAGTCTAGCTCATCCCCCTGTAACCTAGAGTGACAACCATAGGTTCAGAGTCACAGTACACCTGGGTTTAAATGCTGACTCTGCCCCTTAATAGCTCATCAACTTGGGCAAGTTAGGGAAACTCGTAGTGCTCATTGGTTCAGAAAGTAGCACCCACCTTTCAAGGGTGTTGTTAACGATTACATAAAATAATATGTATACACTGGTCCCAGAAAATGCCTAAAATATAGTAAGTTCTGAATAAGTGGCATTACTTATATTATTTCCCTTCAAACAACATGTTACTCCCTCCTTCCAATTCTTCAGTTACTGACAGTTTCTCACATTTCAAATGACCAAAACAATGCTGACTATTGGGTGGTTATATTTTGTCAGGGTTACTTTCTAAGCTAATTTACCTTCTTCTTTAATTTTTGCAAGTAACCCTTAGTTAATCACATTTGTGGCATGTGTTCATTACAGTAAGACTTTTCCAGCCTATTTTTCCCTTTCTAGAAGACCAGAATCCTTAATGTATTATTTCTTTAACCATGTAGACAGGGATTTCGGAGCTCCTTAAGATGAATTAAACCTACTACCATCCTTGCAGCAGAGCTTCCTTATTTTAGACAGCTGAAATGAGGGCTAAGTGTTTTATCACAGAGCAAATAATTGGCAAATCTGGATGTGGAAGCCAACAAGCTAGATTACCAGCTCTTTGTGACACTGAAAGAAGACTTCCATTGATTGAGTTCCTCTTCTTTGGGGTTTCAACAATACCTTAGTGAAAATTTGACCAGAGACAAGAGCACCTTCCTGTACTGAGATATGATGCATCCGCACACTCACAGACAATTCTCCATTGACTTTAACTGTGGAAAAGGGAAGCCTGGCATGCTGCTTAAGAAGGGCAAGTCAACCAACAACTGCACTCACTCCTAGCTTTCCTACAGAAACAGCACTGTGTCCATGTTGCTTAACCATTTCATATTTACGGAGTGGGTTGCCTGCTCAGAAATAAACTAGGTAATAATTATCCAACTTAATTTAGCTTTATTAGATGACCTAATTTTGCCTATTTTCCCACATCATTAGCATAAGTTATCTGGCTCACGGTTTGCTTTTTCTCATATGAATAAAAATATCTCCATATTCTCCAGTACATGGTGACTTATTGTTTTTGTTTCCTCATGGAGGCTGAGAGGGAGATAAAATATATCCTTTTATTAATAAATGATTTTGTCTTTTACTTTAGTGACACAGTTTTGTGCAAAAGTCCAGAAAGAATTATCCCTCATAAATCATTCACTGAAATTACAAATATAATGTCTTGAAGTTCTTTTTTTTTTTTTGAGACAGGGTCTCATTCTGTCACCCAGGCTGGAATGCAGTGGCATGATCCCAGCCAACTGCAGCTACCTCCTAGGCTCAAGTGATACCCCTGCTTCAGCCTCCCATGTAGCTGGGACCACAGGTATGCACCACCATGCCCATCTAATTTTCTTAGTTTTTGTAGAGACGAGGTCTCACTTTGTTGCTTAGGCTGGTGTTGAATTCCTGAGCTCAAGCAATCTTCCAAGCTAGGCCTCCCAAAGTGCTGGGATTACAGGCATGAGCCACCACACCTGGCCAATGTAATGTTTTAATATTTGAAAGTTATTAATCAGAGTGAGAGAAATATTTAAATAAAGAAAAATTCTCATCTACCAAATTTAATATATACATCATATGCATTATTCTATACTGTTATATGAGTGTGTGTGTGTGTGTGTGTGTGTGTAAAATAAACGGTTAAGGTAAATTTTGGATTAAGGCAAAATTTAATCCTATGATTTAGATTGCTTATGAAGATATCATACCTATGAGGGTTTACATATCATTATCTTGGCACTTTGAATTTGAGCTCTTCAATAATTCAAAACATTTTTGCTTCTGGTATAACCTCAGTTGTTAAATATGTATTTTTAAAAGGGAAGAGATGGTGCTGTTCTGCTATTATTACTTATTTTAATCTTCAGCTTGCTTATCTTACAAAATCCTTCAAACACTATATTATGTTTATCTTCAGTCTAGGAATAAAAAGGAGAATTTAATCTAAAAATAACACCATTCATGCTTAGTGGTTTGGAGTTTCTGAACTACCCATTCTAATATATAATCAATTTCATTTCACTGTTTGGGTATATGTTTAATGATAAGCCTGTAGAATTTCTGTGGTCATTTATTCCTTGGGATGAAATTCAATTTTGATTATACCATAAACATTTTTTGATTATTCAAAAATACTGAGATGAGAAAAAAGAACAAGTTGAAATAGTGCTCTGTACAGCTCATACTTGCACTCGTTTAATGCTATCCAACAGTGAAAACACCACCAAAGAGCACAGTTTTCTAGCTAACAAACCAGGTACAGAAATGTTCCCCAGTTTAATACAAATACATGCATTCAGAAAAGGAAATTTCCATGTCAGATGTTGATATGTCCCAGTCAGATTGTTTCCTGCTTTGGAAATCACTGTGCTCAGTCAATCAGGCCTGAGATGCCTGAGATGGGTCTCTTCAGCCTTTGCAGAGGGAATTGGCCAGCTCAGAGTGAAAATGCTTTCCAAATATTTAGCTGGGATTAAAGCTCAGTTTGTAAGACACTCTAGTTACCTAAATATAAAACATTTTTGCTCTTTTCCTCACTGCAACCTCAAACCCCTGGGCTCAAGTGATCCTCCCGCCTCAGCCTCCCAAGTAGCTAGGACTACCAGGTCAGTGCCACCATGCCTGGCTAATTTTTAAATTTTTCTTTTGTAGAGATGTGGTCTCACTATGTTGCCCAGGCTGGTCTTGAACTCCTGGCTTCAAGTGATCCTTCTGCCTTGGCCTCTCAAAGCATTGGGATTACAGGCATGAGCCACTGTTCCTGGCCTATTTCGTGTTTTTATGAATTGATTTAAAAATTTCTCCTTACATAATATACAGTGTAACCTGTCGTTGCAGATGCACCTTATATATATAATATGGAATTTAATATTTTTAGGTAGTCAAACATATTTTATGCCTTTGCTGCTAAGTTTGCAAAATTTCTTTGTTCCAGAGTTTGATTAGTGTTCTCAGTAGTATGTCACACAAATTCTCTCATGGTTTTATTCACTCGCTTTTGCCCAAGCACCAAGCAGTAGATCATTCAACTCCACAATGCTAGAAAATGGCAACTGTTTTATGCATTAATTCTGGAAAGGAGCCATTTCTAATGAGTAGAATTCAGTGAGAAGGAGAAAATTTACTTGTGGCAGTGTTTTAAGTCTCAGGACCACCTACTGAGAAGTGGGGGAATGCAGGAATATTATTTTCAACAGTTTAAAGAAGAAAAATACATTTGTGCACCTGTTGCACAGCTGTAGTGACGGTTTAACAGGGACAAAGCATGCAGAAACTATGCTCAGCAATTACTTGCTGTACATAAGGTGTAAATGCTCTGCTGTTTCAAGAATTCCTCTGCCAAGTATCAGGCCTAACAATATCTTCAGTGAGCTTTTTAGTGAGAGACTCGATCCTGCCTGCCATCTTTTAAAATTTGTGTAAAGTAATAAAAAGTGGCTGATTTCTAAAGGCAGAAAAACTTATAAAATCTCACAGAATGATAATTATCAAAAGGATAATTTTTTAAAGTAGTGTGTTCTTATACTGGAATATTACTCAGCATTGCAAACAAAGAAAGCACAAGTACATATAAACTTGGATAAACCTCATAACCACAATGTTGAGCAAAAGTAGTAAGACACCAAAGAAAACTATTAGTACACGTTATATAGTTCATTATATATAATGAAATATATAGAACTATATACGTTATATAGTTATATAGTATATAGAACTATATATGTTATATAGTTCATTATATGTATATATAGTTCTATATAGTTCATTATATATAATTCTATATAGTTCTATATAGAATTCTATATAGAACTATATAGAATTATATATAATGAACTATATAGAACATTATATAGTTCATTATATAGTTCAGAAACAGGGGTGATATGGTGTCCCCTCCCAGACCTCATCTTGAATAGTAGCTCCCATAATTCCCACATGTCATGGGAGAGACCCGATGGGAGGTAATTGAATCATGGGGGTGGGTTTTTCCCATGCTGTTCTTGTGATAGTGAATAAGTCTCATGAGATCTGATGGTTTTATAAAGGGGAGTTCCCCTGCACATGCACATGCCCATGCCCTCTTGCCTGCTGCCATGTAAGATGTGCCTTTGCTTTTCCTTTGCCTTCTGCCATGATTGTGAGGCTTCCCCAGCCATGTGGAACTGTGAGTCCATTAAACCTCTTTCCTTAATAAATTACCCAGTCTCGGGTATGTCTTTATTAGCAGCGTGAGAACAGACTAATACAAGAGGCATGTATGTAGGTGGTAAAAAATACCATAACAAAATCAAGAAAGTGGCTATCATGTAGTCATAATAGCGGTTAAGTTTAGGGGAGGAGAATGAGTCTGGAAGCCTCCTACAGGATGGGAGGCTCTTAGGTTGCTAGCAGTGCTCTATTTCCTAACCTGTATGGTGGTGACAATCAGTGTTTACTCTGTAACTTTTCATTTTATCTCGCATTGTTCTTTAAACATTTCTGAGTGTATTTTATTTTGCTGTAAGCATATGCTAAAAATCACTGTCATAGTTAATTGCAGGTACCTACTTTTTTGAAAATATCAAATTTTTTAAAACTGTTAACAATTGAGACTGTTCATAAATGCATGGAACTAGATGTGAAGGTGCAGATTTTTAGTGAGCAAACTAGGGTGTTACCTTTTAGTGATGAGAGGAAATCCTTAATTTTAAAATGTTGGCAGTAGATTATGGTAAACATACTTAAACAAAAACAAAATCACTTATTACCTGAGGGTTTGCATAAACTAGACGACGCACTTTTATTCCATAAGGGCTTAGATGCTTTAAATATCTTTCCTGAGTGTGCTGTCATTTCCTTCTACATGTCATGTCAAATAAACAATTAATAGAGGTGTTTGTAGATTTGGAGGCTGATAGTGATCATTTGGAAGCCCTTATTAAGGACAAGTTAGCACAAACATTATCCTACCAGCACTAAATTCAAACAAGGTTTAAAAATTTAAGCAGAAAATGCTTCAGATATTCAAAACAATCTTTAGTGCTGTTATAAATTGGAAGGTTTTAGAGGCTTAACAATCCGATACTTGTACAGCAAGAAGGATGATTCCCACTCAATTATTTCTAAAACCTGAGATAGATATATATATCTCATAAGATAATATACGTAAGGAGGTGGACCTGGATACATAACAAATCCACCATAATCTAGAGTGTGATTACCCTTCCTAATTAATGCCCTTTCAACTTAATGCCTGTTACCCTCCACATCCCATAGTTGATGAATATTAAACTGCTTGATGTTTTTTATTTCCATGCCTTCAGCTGTTGTGTGAAGACTCTTTTGATTATGAGTTAGAAAAATCAATTCAAACTAGGTTAAGAGGAAAGGAATTTAAAAGAAAACTTTAAAGATAAAAATAGAAACATATTATATGCTCAATTGACAATTCCAAATTCATAGAAATAACTACTATAAAAATTAGTATAAAAATGCACAGAAACAGAAAACCAAATATAACATGTCCTTACTTATAATAAGCCTGAGCAACATAGTGAGATCCTGTCTCTACAAAAAATAAAAAAATTAGCTGGGTATGGTGGGGCATGCCTATGGTCCCAGCTACTTGGAGGCTGAGACAGGAGGATCACTTGAGCCCAGGAGGTCAAGGCTGTGGTGAGCCATAATTATGTCACTGACTCCAGCCTGGGCGAACCACCTGAGACCCTGTCTCAAAAATGAAACAAAAAAGCAGATGGGAACAGTAGTCCCTGGGGAATCCAAAAGGAGGAGGGAGGGAGGGAGCAAGGGAACGGCTGGAAACTTCCTAATGAATACTATGTTCACTATCTGGGTGACAGGATCAATAGAAGCCCAAACCTCAGCATCACACAATATGCCCTTACAACAAACCTGCACATGTGTCCCCTGAATCTAAAATAAAAATGGAAATTTAAAGAAATCTGGTTATGGATCATTCCAGATTTTTATACATACATGTACACATGCCAACATGCACACAGTTTTTCTTCATGTGGGATGATACCATCTATGTTGCTCTTCCAATGGCTTTTTTCATTTAATGGACAACTTTCCAAGATAGTATTAAAGAGTAAAGTACCGCCCCACCGTCTGGGAAGTGAGGAGCGCCTCTGTCCGGCCGCTGTGCAACCTTCCAGGTGTGAAGTGGCAGCCTTGTGTGTGATCTTTCTGCCCTCCCCAAGTTTGCATTTTTGACATTAAAGTTTACTTTTAAATTAAAAATAAATAAAGAGTAAAGTAGGTAACTACCTTATTTTGTAATAGTTGCATTATTTTAACAAACATTTATGACAGTTCTCATTTCCAATGGGAATTTATGGACATTATTCTGAGATTATCACACAATCCAAGGAAAAGTTAAACAACCATCAGCAAGAATGAAGGAACCAAGGCAACTCTGCAGCAGGAATTCTGTTTGTTTGTTTGTTTGTTTGTCTGAGACAGAGTTTCGCTCTCTCACCCAGGCTGGAGTGCAGTGGCCTGATCTCAGCTCACTGAAACCTCCGTCTCCCGGGTTCAAGTGATTCTCCTGCCTCAGCCTCCCAGGCAGCTGAGATTATAGGCACGTACTATCACGCCAGGCTAATTTTTTTTTTGTATTTTTAGTAGAGATGGGGTTTCACCATGTTGGCCAGGCTGGTCTTGAATTCCTGACCTCAGGTGATCTGCCTGCCTCGGCCTCCCGAAGTGTAGGATTTCAGGTGTGAGCTACCGTGCCTGGCCAGGAATCCTTTGATTCTCCTTCCAGAGCGCTGTGATCAATATGTCTTTCAGTTTAAATTCTCTAGAGAGTCTCAGATTGGTTCAGCTGGGGTCAGGTGCTACTCCTGGTCCAATTAAGTTTGACCAGAGAACCAGGGTCATATAGGGGGAAAAAAAGCTACCAGGAAGCACCTGAGGTGGAATGCTGGGCCTATTACTTGATTTTGTCTTTCTGATGCTTACATGGTGTCTTACCATCTTCATAGAAATAGAACAAAGTCGTGTTTAGAACCTTCTATAATAAATTGTCCTCCTCCCACCTTGCCCCTTTACTTCAGTGTTCTACTGATACTACATACTAAATGCAAAGATTACGTGTTGTGACAGGCCCTGAAGTTCAAGTTGAGAAAGGGCCAGCTTGTGGAGCTGCAATGAAGGCAGAGAAAGGCAGTCTGTATGAGACCTGAGTCACAGGTCCTTCCTTTTTTCCAACACACTCACCCCCATTGCTTTCTCAAGTTCCAGACCTATATGTCCAAGTGCTTATCAACATCTCCATTTAGTCATCCAAAGGACACTTCGAATCAGCATTTCCAACTGAATTTATCTCCTTCTCACAGACTTCACTTTTTCTGGGTTACCTCAATAAACAGCAGCTCCAGCCAATTCCTTTCTCATCCTTGCTTTCCAATCAAGTCACCAACTTCTGTCAGCAATTCTCCTTAAGGCATCTCAAATCACTTCACTTTTCTCCAACCCATTACAACTGCCCTTGTTTAGCCTAGACAATTACAACCTCTTACTCATCTAACTCAGCTCCTGCCTTTAGTCTTGTTCCCTATAATCGGTTCTTGACCCTGCAGCCAGTGCTAGCAAAACTGATCACTTCACTCTTTATTTTGCAACTAATTTCTCTTCAGAATAAAGCCTAAAGTCCTTAGCATAGCACAGCATAGGATGACATTGCATAGCCTGCAAAGTATTTCACGAATTGTCTGCTTCTTCCATTCTAGTCTTTCTATTCTCCTCCCTCAGTAACCTTTCTATTTTCTTCTAACTCCCTGATTTCTTGTTTGTAGAGTGCTGGTTCTGAACCTTGACTAGACATTAAAATCACATAGAGACTTTAAAACATCCCACTGCCAAGGCCATCCCAAAGCAATTAAATCAGACCCTCTTGGGGAGGACCCAGTCATCAGTAAGTTTTTAAAGCTCCAAGATGATTCTGATGTGCAGCCCAATTCGGGGACTTTTGCAATTCTATGCATATGTTTACTTTCTCTCCCTGACCAAATCTGCACCTCCACCTTTGTTTATTCTTAGATCCTCACATCCCCTGCAAGCTGCCTAATATCTACTTACCCTACAAATCTCATCTTACAACCCACTTATACTGTGGCCTTTTGACCACAGAGAATAGGTTATGTGAATAGACATAGAGTTTTGAACAACGAAACACTCACAAATCTTTAAATTCAGGTTCATAAATTATTTTTTGAGCCATTTGAAGTAATAAACATTTTGAAGCCTCCATTGTGTTTGTCAGGCTAATAATACCCTTATATTCATGAGTTAACTACCACTGTTGGGGTTTGTACTGTTAGTGGTGGCAAATCCATACGGGTCTGCAACAACCTCAATTCTTGCCTCCTCAGAAGAAAGAATTAGACTGAGGGGCACAAGGCAGAGTGAGAGACTGAGGCAAAGTTTTAGAGCAGAAGTGGAAGTTTATTCAAAAGTTTAAAGCAGGAGTGAAAGGAAGTAAATTACATTTGGAAGAGGGCCAAGCAAGCGACTTGAGAGGTTCAAATGCACATTTTGACCCTTGACTCGGGGTCTTTTACGTTGGCATGCTTCCGGGGTTGCATTACGTCTCCCATGATTCTTTCCTTGGGGCGAGCTGTCTGCATGCAGAGTGGCCTGCCAGCACTTGGGAGGGGCTGCATGCACAATGTGTTCACTAAAGTTGTGCACATGCTCACTTGAGGTGTTTTTCCCTTACCAGTCCAGTGCTCCTAGAGGAAGGTCATATACCAGTTAAACTCCACTGTTTTGCCTCTTAGCGCACACACTGGAGCTCACTAGCCCAACTCCTGAGATCTTATTAGGAAGCTGCTGGTCACTAGCATCAGGTTTTTTTCTATCTATTGGGAGACTTCCTTTTCCTGGTGCTGGCTGCGACAAATTATTATTTTAGAGAGGCAGTTCAACAGCATCTGACCATCACCTGATGGCTGCCTGACATTTCTGGTGAGGGGGCCCTCTCCTGTCCTGCTCCTATCTGCCTTACTACCTACTGTAACAGTGCTGGGTGAATTGTCTACGTGATCTCATTTAATCCTTTTAACAATCATTAGGAGGTATTCAAATCCCATTTTACTGCTGAGAAAACTGAAGTTTGGACAGTTTAACAAATTTCCCAAATACATACTGAAGCTACAGGATAGATAACTTAGATAACTATGTGATTTTTTTTTTTTTTTTGAGATGGAGTTTCACTCTTGTTGCCCAGTCTGGAGTGCAGTGGTGTGATCTCGGCTCACTGCAACCTCCACCTCCCGAGTTCAAGTGATTCTCCTGCCTCAGCCTCCGGAGTAGCTGGGACTACAGGTGTATCCCACCACGCCCAGCCAAGTTTTGTATTTTTAGTAGAGACGGGGTTTCACCATGTTGGCCAGCATGGTCTCGATCTCTTGACCTCGTGATCTGCCTGCCTCAGCCTCCCAAAGTGCTGGGATTACAGGCATGAGCCACCGGGCCTGGCCCCTATATGAATTTTTAAAAACCCAAAGTATATTCACCAGATTTTTAAAAAATCAGAATATTGTAAATGTAAGACTTGAAATCTTTTAAACAAGAAACCTTTTTTAATGTATATTTTTAAAATTTCTGATGCTATGGAAAGAACTGTTCAGCAGGATAGCAGAAGAAAAATAAATAAAAATGTTGGAAATAACAACTAATGATGTTATGAGATATACCAGTGTTTCTGATAAGCACATAAAGATTCAAATAACAGAAACTATGGATGAGCTTATTTTGCTTTAAATTGAAAAACAGTTATTTATTCTTTTAATGTATACTTAAGAGGGTGCATTTCAAATCAATAGTTAGGAACAAAAACTCGAACAGGATTTCTAGAACTTTTTTTTTTCTGCTACAGATACCTCTATATCTACTGCATGGTTGGCAGACATTAAGGCTTCAGAACCAGAACATACACCACACCCTTTTCATTCACTACTCCCTTCTCTCTCCACCCCTCCGCACCTCTCCCTTAAACTCACATCTCTATTTTCCAGCTTGTTCTGTGTGTTTTCCTCTGGTGTAATTACCATAAATAATTAGCAAGACAGGACCTGTGTGGTACAAGTGCCACACCTTGGTTGTGTTGTGAGCAACAGCTTGAAGTGATGGCAACCTAAACATTTGCACACTTCTCACCACAGTGTCCCATATTTAAGTATTTCATAACACGTAAATCCAACAGATGAAATATTGGAATACCTCTTCATGATTAATACCTGACCCAAACTATGAGTTGAAGTGTTGACTGGCTAATGTATTGACTCTGTATGCTTGGAATGGGTGTTCATGGCAGCTCAAAATGATTTATTCAAATTAAAACCAAAAAGCAACAAAAAAATTGTTCTGCCCTATGAAGAACTGAGCAGGGGGCCGGTGGGGGAACAAAAGCCTTTGTTTAGCTGTAAACCATAAAAGCAGAGGTATGGTACCTGCTCCTGCCAAGGCTAAAGTAAAGCAATTAGCATCATGACTTGAGGGGTCACAAGATCCCAAAAAAGCAACATTTTGGAACTTTCTTAAGCCAGATAGCAGTGTGAAAGGGGGAAAAAATCCACAGGGGTCCTCAGTAAACAATAAGGTATGCAGGGAAAGCTCCCTGATTTTCTTTGGTCTAGCCTGTCTTCACTGCCCCCAGGCCTTGAATAAGTATTAAAACCCTCCCCTCCTTGCATTCTATTGAGTACTCTCCGGGCCTTCCCAGCTACAAGACAGTTTTTCATTCCCTTTCTTACCAAAGAAAGTGTGAGGTTATTCAGCATGTTATAATGAGCTGCCAGTATTGGAGAGATACCAAACTCTGATTTCCAAGTCACTAATACCAGCCCCAAGCCCCACCACACACATACACACACATGCACACACACACACACACACACACACACACACGAGGCCAAGGTGGGCAAAAAGAAAAAATTATATCATTGGATGGAAATGTGTAAATCAGTCAGATCCCTAACTTAAATATGAAGAAATCAAGAGTCAGAAAGGGAACTCGTTTGTTCAAATTCACACTAGTTACTGGCAAACTAGAATAGGATCCAGATCTCATGAGTTCCAGTCAAGCATATTTTCCTTAATATTTATTTTAGTAAACTAATTTTGCTTACAGAATTTCATAACACCTTTTGAGATAGGTAGTGACACCTTGGTTATCACAAAACTAGGGGTAGAGCACAGCCAAAAAGAAGCACGAGTATTTAGTATAATTTTTTAACTTAATTTTATACTACGCCTCTTTACAAACTTTACCAATATCATTTCTTTCAATATCTGGGTTTTGGTGGCACAATCTGGAATATTTATGTCTTATCATAATTTTGCAATGTTATTTCAACTATTGCATTTTCCTTTGATTTGTCACTATTATTCTTTCCAGTATGACTAACCATTGCACTATGTGTTTTCAAAGAAGATGGTACAGCTCCTCTAGAGGAACAACTGAGTAACTTAAGGAGGGAGACTAACTGTTCACCTAAGATAGTTGAGTCTTAACTCATGGTGTTTTATGCAGTTCTCCTTCTTGGCCCAGGAAGATGCCTTCTAGAATAAACCCAATTGTGCCTAATCCATTTTGATAACCTTTCTTAAAAGATCTGGCTGGGCAAGGTGGCTCACATCTGTAATCCCAGCGCTTTGAGGGGCTGAGGCAGGAGAATTGTTCAGAGTTCAAGACAAGCCTGGGCAACATACATCTCTACAAAAAAACAAAAATAAAAAAATTAGCAGGGCATGGTGGTGTGCACCTGTATTCTCAGCTACTTGGGAGGCTGAGGCAAGAGGATTGCTTGAGTCCAGGAGGTTGAGGCTGCAGTGAACCATGATCGTGCTATTCCACTCCAGTCTGGGTGACAAAACAATGGGTGACCCTTTCAAAAAGAAAAAAATAAGAGATCTGTCATCTGCTTTATTTATAATTCTTTTGTGAAATATCAAACAAATCACTTCTCTCCTTTGGGTGCTCCGATGATGTAAATATCATGAAGTCAAGGCATAATTGTTCTTACTTGGTAGCACTTAACTTAATGGCATATCAATGACATGCCACTGAGTGCTAACTCTGTAAGTGCATGTGATAACTATATCCCAAATTGCAGTTCTAGGATACAATTCCAGGATCTCCAGTGTCCAGGGTACCCAACAGGCACCACAGCATGCTACTGTACTCAGCTCCAACCAATGCCCTGGCCAATCATGCTACTTCTTCTATCTCAACCTGAACTTTACACTGAGAAACATTCTATCATTTCCCCTGCCTTCTAAGTTTTGATCTAACTAAAAATATTGGATGCTCATCTTTCAGACAATGAGCTCCTTAAGGAAATTGACTATGAGATATTTAACTTTGACTTTCCAGTGACTGACAGCCTTATTATGGGGATTTAATAAATGTGAATCAATGTGAATGAATAAGTAAATAAATAAGAAATGAATGACTGTTTCAAATCTCTCCCATACAAAGATAATCCTACTGACACGATATCTTTATTATGCCCATTTTTCTCTTCTTTGATAATTCCTTGCCCTTTCCCTAACTGCAGCTCCCTTCATCTTTGCCTCAAAATAAACCATCCCTTTTCTGCTATGGTCCAAGATTATGGGGAATTGTAAGGCTTGTAGAAGATGCTGGTCTTCTAACACGTCATAATAATAAGGTACTGGTTGACATGCCCCAATAAATTATTAGATGTTTATTGGGAGGCAATGATCAGGTTGCAATTTGCAAGCAAAACTGACATAGTTCATTAAGAGATTAACTACGGCCAGAACATTGAGAGGGGGCACATCATTTCAAAGTTGCAGGGGCTAGAATGGAAATCAGTGAGGAAAGGAACTGGAAGAAGACTAAGAGGTATAATACTAGATGGTGTTAAAGTTGGTGTGAGCTTCTAAACACAACCACAGAGGCAGCTCATACCTTCCCAGCCCCAACCCCCTGTAATGAGCTCTGCATTGTTGACGGTTGCTCAGCGACCACACTCCTTTCCACATGCCTATCTCAGTTGCTTATTAAGGATTTGTGGTTTCTCATTTTTTTCTTTTACCTTTTAGAACTGCCTTTGAGATTCAGTTATTAATCACAATCCAAATGTCAACAAATATACTATTTGTTTTGAAAGCTGAGCACTACTCAAGATGGTCCAGTTGCTATAAAGAATTTTGTGTTATTGACCTCACAAACCCAAGGACAATATCCAAATCAGAGACTTTAAATGTATGGATCCTTCACCCCTAAGCACCTCTTCTAGGAATTTAACTCAAGGAAGTATTCAGAAACATGCTCACACTGATGGCTTATTATTTATAAAATTCAAAAACTGGGAACAATCTTAATTAACATTATACATCCATATGATAGACTGTTATCAGCTAAAAATTAAATTGTAATGGGATATTAGCATCATTATTATTAACATGTAAACATTTATTATATACTCTTTTAAAATGCAAGCTGTTTAAACTTTTTATTTTATATGTAAGTACATATATAACAAATAACTAGACAGATGAAAGCAAAATGCTGACAGTGGTTATTTTGGGTGGTAAGATTAGGGTGAACTTTGTTTTATAACTTTGTAGTTATTTGGTATTTTCTAGGTTTCTTATTAAAAATATATTATTTTTGTAACTGAAAACTTTAATAAAAAATAGAACAGGCAAAAGAGATAACTTATATGCTGGGAATTCAGAAATAGTGAAATTTTTTTCCTGCTTCTCCAAAACTACCTTTGGAATAAGCTTATTGGTATCTAAAATTTCACAGTTAGAGATATATTTCTTTTTTCTTTTCCTTTTTTTTTTTTTTTTTTTGAGATGGAGTCTGGCTCTGTCCTTTGTCACCCAGGCTGCAGTGCAGTGGCGCCATCTTGGCTCACTGCAACCTCCGCCTCATGGGTTCAAGCAATTCTCCCTGCCTCAGCCTCCCAAGTAGCTGAGATTACAGGTGCCCACCACCATACCTGGCTAATTTTTGTATTTTTAGTAGAGAGGTGATTTCACCAAGTTGTTCAGGCTGGTCTCGAACTCCTGACCTCAGGTGATCCATCTGCCTTGGCCTCCCAAAGTGTGGAATTACACGCGTGAACCACCATGTGGCTGAGATACATTTCTTTGTCCTTACTTTGCATCTTTTGCTAAAATGAAAATATAACTAAATGGGGAAACACTAATTCTATTAAGCATTTATACCATCAGAGACCAGTGTTTTTAAGCTACAAGTTTATGAAATCAATTTATTGGGTCTTGGCTTAAACACAAAATAAATGAAATAAAATAGAATGGAAAATATCTGTGTTTTTTCTTCTTAGTAAGGGAAGGTATTATTTAATGATATTTTAATTTAAATTACATATGTATATACTGGGACATGAGGTAAAATATATTCTTTATGGAAGAACACAGTCAAAAAGTTTGGAAGTCACTGCCATAGAATGAACACTAGATCCTGTCCTGAAAATGGGTTTTTGATTGTGGTGGACATATCTGTGAAAGACCACCGGGTGCTTCAGATGGATAAAAGAGAAATCTCTGGGTTTTAAGGATGCAGAAAGGGAGATGAAGGCATCAGAAGACACAATTTGTTCTGTGGCTATTCTTGGCTGTCCTTGGCTTCCTTGGGGAGCCTGAACTGTGGCACAGAGCTCTACTCAGCAGTTTCCTGGAAAAATGGATATTCTGCTGCTATTACAGTCACAGTGGGTGGATTTTTTTTTTTTTGAGATAAGGTCTCACTCTGTCACGCAGGCTGGAGTGCAGTGATGTGATTAAAACTCACTGTAAGCTCTCACTCCTGGGCTCAAGTAATCCTCCCACCTCAGCTTTCCAAGTATCCAGGACTTCAGCTGAGGGTCACCATGAATGGCTAATTTTTAAATTTTTCTGTAGAGACGGGGGTCTCTCTATTTTTGCCCAGGCTGGTCTCAAACTCCTGGGTTCAAGTGATCCTCCTGCCTCAGCCTCCCAAATTGCTGGGATTACAGGTGTGAGCCACTGCACCCAGCCTATGAATAGAATTTTTATAGTTAGTAAAGTTTAGGACTATAAGATCACTGTAACTCAGTGGGCTCCTCAAGATCTTACTATCTGTTGTTACCTAAACAAAAAACCAGCTACTTGCTCTGTGATGTGAAAGTGGTATAATCTTTACAAGCCACTGGAAGAATATTTTCTAACAACTGAATGCACAAATACATTGATACATTTTCAAATGATATGGGGAGAAAGATTGTAGGGCTTCTTTCACCCTTCTAGGATCCAAGATTCTAAACAATTTGGGTAATCAAAATTTACCCTGCCTTACTATTCTGTACCAGTGGATGGGTTTTCATTCTTTCTCATATATTCTTTGTTCCCATACCATCCAGAATTTCTCATTCAAGCAAAGGAAACTGAGAAAAAAATGCATTAAGTTGTACATGATTTTATGTTACCTCTTCAATGGGTATTTGCTTTGGAAAGACGACCTAACAATGTCAAGAAGATAATTAACACAAAGCAATAAATGCAGCCTATGACAGGCAGGTCAGGAAAAGGTCTATAGTATATACTTCTTATGTTTTGACCTTCATTATTTTTGACATCCTTCCTCAAGTTAGAAATCTAGGTCATAGCCAAGCCACCTTGGCTCTGCTAATCATGTGTACTTATGTGAAACTCTCAGCTGGAAAAGAATAATGTGAAGTGGCAGGCATCACTTAAAATACATTTTCTAGAGAAGATGGTTGCAGAAGCATGTGGTTTTTTGGGGCTAGCAATGATAGAATTTCGGGTATATGGTGTCCAAGGTCAGTAGTGTAAGTTGGGGTTGTCTAAGCCCAATAAGAGCCATGGGATCTTTATTGGAGTAATTCTACAATGTGATTTAGGCTCTCTGACTGTCATAGAGATTCTATGCCCTTTCTAAGATATGTTAATGTATTTCTTGCTATTTAAATTTGGTTAGAATGGGCCTGGCGCAGTGGCTCACCCTGTAATCCCAGCACTTTGGGAGGCCAAGGCAGGTGAATTACCTGAGGTCAGGAGTTTGAGACCAGCCTGGCCAACATGGCAAAACCCTGTCTCCACTAAAAATACACAATTAGCCAGGCATGGTGGCACACGCCTGTAATCCCAGCTATTCAGGTGGCTCAGTCACGAGAACTGCTTGAACCCGGGAGGCCAAGGTTGCAGTTACTTGAGATTGTGCCACTGCATTCTAGCCTGGGCCACAGAGCAAGATTCTGTCTCAAAAAAAAAATGGTTAAAATGAGCTTTGTTGTTTGTGACAAAGAACCCCAATTAATACAGGTTCCTTCCTTCAAATTATACTATGTAGACAAAAGTGGGCAAACTATGGAGCAATTATCTAGTAATAATGTCAGATAGTTCTTCCATACATGTTACCTAGTGCTCACCTAAAACAGAAAACATCTGATGAAAATTTATTGTTTAATTTTCAGTTATTCGAATAAGTGATATTTGCTTTGGGTCTTAAAGGTAAAAACATTGAGAAATAAGATGGAAGCCTTGACATGTATAGCAACTCTTTGCCATTTGCTGAAATGACTACTTTTAAAATTCTTTGTTCTACTGAAATGATATTTTATTACTAGATTTACACTAATCGATGAATTCTGTGTCCTTGTACAAAAAAATTAAAAAGCTATAAAGTAGATAAGTATATAGAAAAAAATAAGTAGGATAAGTAGATAGAAAAAAAAGACATTCCTTTAACCATGTCATAGTGCTTTAGATTAATATTAAAAACAACATAAGAATTGCAAAGTTATGTTCCTTTTTTTTACTGACCTAGTTAATTTAAACAGAATTTACTGTAAAGCTTCATACATAGAGATCAATAAATACTTCTTAACCAAAAAAAAAAAAAAAAAAAAAAAGTGGCTTATAAGGACAGTTCAGGGTAATGAACGCCAGAATGGAAAAGATGTCTTCCCATTTAAAAGAAATTTTCGTTGATTCAATGGATCTTCTGTCATAACAGCCAATTTTTCTGGGCCATTGCTTCAAGAGTTCTATTACATTCACATATTATACGAACCATAATACAAACAAATAATCCAGTCATTTAAATTTTACATAGAAAATGGCTGACTAGAGGTACCTGACACTCACCTCCTGCACAAATAAGAACTAAAATAACCATGCTTCAAATGGAGAATCTAAGGGAGAACACTGGAATTTAGCAGAGGAAACACTTGAAACCAGGAAGGAGAGGGAAGTAAGGAAGTCTGCTGGGGCAAGATCAGCTGGGAACCAGAGAGACTTTTCAGTACAGGGAAAGGGTAAGTGAGTGATCCCCAGTGGTCTACATTCCCACTATGGACTCTTGCACTTCTAGCCATGGGAGAGCTCCTTGACCTTTGGGGAGTCTGAGGCTAGTATAGGAAGTTGCCTGGAGTCTGCATGACAGCATTGCTCCAGATAGAGAGCTCACATTAGGTCCCACACATGCCTTGAGACCCAAACAGCTGCAGCACACCACCATTTTGAGAGCCCAGCTCCCACCAGGCTGCATCTCCCCTGAGGCCCAGCATCTCCTGCATGTACTAATCCTTGGAGCCCCACTGACATCCCCTTGTGTCTACCTGGAGGGCTGCAGTAGCGTGATGCTGTTTGGACCCAGTAGTGTGGCCTGGTTCCCAGCACTCTCCCCCACACAGTGTCTTACACTCTGGGGAATGAGTAATGCAGCACACCTTGTGGCTGCTCCTGGGACAAAGAGAGCCAAGGACAGGGTTGCCCTACCCACTGCTGCTGCTGCCATCACAGCCACTGGAAGCAGAAGTACCTGCTCTCCAGAGCTTGAAAGCCACCTGCCTAGGACCACTGCCACTGACAGTAACACTGCCCCCCACCCCCCACAGGAGACAGCTGCAGTGTACTTGCACATGCCCTGAGGACAGGCTCCCTCTACTCACCGCCTCCTGAACTTGCTGCCCAAGAACCTGGGGACAGCCCCATTCTGCACAACATAACCCATGTGCACCACTAGGGGACCTGAGAATAAGCCCTCTCAGCCTGGCACCACCCCTCAGTGCCCAGGCATGCCACCTGGGGATCTCCCAATTCCATTGGTTGAGTCAGGTGTGTGCACAGACCACCAGGAAAACTTACAACAGGTGCAGAACAACTGCAGGGACCCAAGCATGCTGTCTGGAGGCCTGGAGATCTCCCCACCCCATCTACCACCTCTGGCATCAGCGCACTCTTTCCAGGGACCTGAGGATGGGTTCACCCAGCCTGTTGCCACCATCCATACACATTACCTGGGGGGGTTGAACATTGGCCTGCCCATTTGATTGCAGCCACTGATAACATCAGCATATGCTACCTGGGAGCCTGAGTATTGTCTTGCTACTGTTACTGCCATTGCCCATGCCATACATGCTGTCCAGGTACCCAAGGACCCACCCACAAGCCCAACCCACCAATATGACCGTTGGAACACAAGCAAGCTGTCTGGAGGCCCAAGAATTGGCCTGCTTGAACCCATTAACACTGGTGCCTGCGTACACCACTTGGAGGCCCAGTGACAGGTACACTTGGCCCTGTCACCACTGAGTCTTGAGGACTGACCCATCTGGTATCCCTGTCCCCAGGAAAGACTCACTACAGCCTCTGCTAACAACTGCAGCCTAAGCCACTGAGGAAATCACAGATACCATTAATGATATTTACAGCTGAAGAAATAGTATGGAGACTACATGACTATATAGACACAGAATCAAAGTTAAAGTGTCCTACTAACTAACACCATAGATAGATCTTCAGGAAAAAGTCATTCCCTGTGAAAGCCACTCAAAAAATTGGAAGAAGCCACTATTATACAACATGTGCAGATATCAACAAAAAAATACCGAAAGAAAACAAGAGTTTCTGCCTGGTAATCCAGAAAATTCTTCTGGACCTTGTCCAAGACCATAAAGGTGGTACTTTTATGAGTCTGAAAGAAACACAGCATTACTGGGCTTGGGGTGACCCCTAAAGCAGATACAGCTTAGATCACAACTCCCAAGTTCTTGACAATATCTGGAAAGCCTTCCCAAGAAGGATGGGCACAAAGAAGCCCAGATAGTGCAGACTAAAATAAATACCAAACTCCTCAATGCTGAGACAACAAAGAACATCTACCAGCATCAACAACATCCAGGAAAACATGACCTCACCAGATGAATTAAATAAGGTACTAGAAAACAATCGTGAAGAAATAGAGATATGGGACCTTTCAGACAGATAATTCAAAATAGCTGTGTTGAGGAAACTCAAAGAAATTGAAGATAACACATAGGCGGAATTCAGAAATCTACCAGATAAATTTAACAAAGAAGCTGAAATAATTAAAAAGAATCAAGCACAAATTCTGGAGCTGAAAAATGCAATTGCCATACTGAAGAATGCATCAGAGTCTTTTAATAGCAGAATTTATTAACTTAAGAAAGAACTAAGAACAGAAAACCAAACGCCACATGTTCTCACTCATAAGTGGGAGTTGATCAATGAGAACACATGGACACGAGGAGGGGAACATCACACACTGGAGTGCTGGGTCCGACCCACAGACCCTGGCCAAATGACAGATGAACAAATACACTCAGATGCAGACCCAGTGAAAGAGTGGGCTAGGGGACTGGGCCACCTACAGACACAGAAAAGGGTGCTGTAAAGACTCAGCAGCAGCAGCCCTGACTAGCTGGTGCTGTGGGCATTTATTTAGTACAGATTTAATGACAAAGGCTTGAGTCAACACTCTTTGTGGGTTAATAACATTGCCGACCCCCCAAGTAGAGATAACATGAGTAAACAAGCTTTTTTGAAAAACTCCTCCACATTCCCTTGTATCTACGCCCTAAGCTTTTAGGCTTCTGATAAGAGAATCTGGCTGCCTTCAGCCAAATCCTTTTCCGAAGCTTTTGTAAAACCTTCTGGCCTTCTGAGTAGGTTTGCATCTTTCTACAATTTTTCCCACTACCCTGACAGATCTCCTACACCGGAGCCTGTTGGGGGTTTGCAGGAAAGGGTAGGGAGAGCATTAGGACAAATACCTAATGCATGCGGGGCTTAAAACCTAGATGACAGGTTGATAGGTGCAGCAAACCACCATGGCACATGTATACCTATGTAACAAACCTGTACATTCTGCACATGTATCCCAGAACTTAAAGTAAAATTTTTAAAAAAGAATTAGTGAGCTTGAAGGCAGGCTATTTGAAAATACACCGTCAGAGGGGACAAAATAAAAAATAATAAAAACCAATGAAGCACACCTACAGCATCTAAAAAACAGCCTCATGCAAATCTAAGAGTTATTGACCTTGAAAAGGAGGTAGAGAAAGAGATAGGGGTAGAAAGTTTAATCAAAGGGATAATAACAGAGAACTTCCAAAATCTTGAAAAATGTATAAGTATCCAAATAAAAGAAGGTTACAGAATACCAAGCAGATTTAACCCAAAGAAGGCTACCTCAAGTCATTTGATAATCAAACTTCCAAAGGTCAAGTATAGAAAAAAAGATCCTAAAAGCAGCAAGGGAAAAAAAACAACATACAATGGAGCTCCAATACATCTGGCAGGAGTCTTTTCAGTGGAAACATTATAAGCCAGGAGGAAGTTACATGCCATATTTAAAGTGCTGAAGGAAAAAAAAGTTTTACACTAGAATAGTATATCCAATGAAAATAAACTTCAAACACAAAGGAGAAATAAAGAGATTCCCAGACAAACAAAAGCTGAGGGGTTTTATGAACACCAGACCTGTTCTACAAAAAATACTAAAGGAAGTACTTCAATCAGAAAGAAAAGGACATTAGTGAGCAATAAGGAATCACTTGAAGATACAAAATTCAGTGATAATTGTAAATTAACAGAAAAACACAGAATATTATAACACTGTAATTGTCAATGTAAACTACTTTTATCCTAAGTCGAAAGACTAAACGATGAACCAATAAAAAATAATAACTACAGGTTTTAAGACATAGTGCATACAATAAGATATAAATAGAAACAACAAAGTTTAAAAGTGAGGGGATAATGTTAAGGTGTAGAATTTTTATTATTTTCTTTTTACTTGTTTGTCTTTTTATGCAAACTATGTTAAGTTCCTATCAGGTTAAAATAATGGGTTATAAGATAGTGTTTGCAAGCCTCATGGTAATCTCAAATCAAAAAACATAAAATGGATACACAAAAAGTAAAAAGCAAGAAACTAAACCATGTCACCAGAGAAAATAACTTTCACTAAAGGAAGACAGGAAGGAAAGAAAAAGAGAGAGAGAAAGAAAGAAAGAGAGAGAGAGAGAAAAGAAAAGAACAGAAAAGAAAAAGAGGGAGGGAGGAAGGAAGGAAAAAGAAAGAAAGAAAGAGAGAAGGAAGAAGGGAAGGAAGGAAGGAAGGAAGGGAGGGAGGGAGGGAGGGAACACCACAAAACAACCAGAAAACAACAAAATGGCCAGGAGTAGGTCCTTACTTATCAATAATAACATTGAATGTAAATGTACTAAACTCTCCAATCAAAAGACAGAGAGTGACTGGATGAAAATCAAGACTCATTGATGTATTACCTACATGAAGAACACTTCACCTATAAAGACACACAGAGACTGAAAAGAGAAGGATGAAAAAAGATATTCCATACAAATGGGAACCAAAAAGAGCAGGAGTAGCTATACTTATATCAGACCAAATAGATTTCACAACAAAAACTAAAAGAAGAGGCAAAAAAAAAAAAAGTCATCATACAATGGTAAATGGGTCAATTCAGCAAGAAGATATAACAATTTTAAATATATATGCACCCAGCACTGGAGCACCCAGACATATAAAGTAAATACTATTAGAGCTAAAGAGAGAGAGATAGGCCCCAACACAATAATAGCTGAAAACTTCAACACTCCATTTTCGACATTGGACATATGTCCCAGACAGAAAATCAGTGAAGAAACAATGGACTTAATCTGCACTTATAGACCAAATGGATCTAATAGATATTTACCGAACATTTCATCCAATGACTGTAGAATACACATTCCTTTCCTCAGTACATGGATCATTCTCAAGGATAGACCATATGTTAGGTCACAAAACAAGTTTTAAAACATTCAAAAAATTTGAAATAATATCAAGCATCTTCTCTGACTACAATAGAATAAAACTAGAAATTAATAACAAGAGAAATTTTGGAAACTATAGAGATATATAGATATTAAACAGTATGTTCCTGAATGACCAGTGGGTCAATGAAGAAATTAAAAAGGAAATTGAACAATTTCTTGAAACAAATGATAAGAGAAACACAACATACCAAAACCTATGAGATACAGTGAAAGCAGTACTAAGAGGGAAGTTTGTAGCTAAAAGTGCCTACATCAAAGAAGAAGAAAAACTTTAAATAAAAAAATCTAACAATGTATCTTACAGAATTAAAAAAGCAAGAGCAAACCAAACCCAAAATTAGTAGAAGAAAAGAAATAATAAAGATCAGAGCAAAAATAAATGAAATTGAAATGAAGAAAACAATATAAAAGATCAATGAAAAAAAGTTCGGTTTTTTGGAAAGTTAAAATTGGCAAACCTTTAGCTAGACTAAGAAAAAAAAAGAGAAGATTTAAAAAATTGGAAATGAAAAAGGAGACATTACAACTGATGCTGCAGAAATTCAAAGAATTATTAGTGGCTACTATGAGCAACTGTATGCCCATAAATTGGAAAATTGAGAAGAAATGGACAAATTGTTAGATACGTATCACCTACCAAGATTGGACCAGGAAGAAATCCAAAACCTGAGCAGACCAATAACTGAGATCAAAGCTGTCATAAAAAGTCCCTCAGCAAAGAAAAGCCTAAGACCCTATGGCTTCACTGCTGAATTCTACAAAACATTTAAAGAACGACTATTAATCCTACTCATACTATTCCAAAAAATAGAGAAGGAGGGGCTATTTCCAAACTCATTGTATGAGGCCATTATTACCCCGATACCAAAACCAGACAAAGACACATCTAAAAAGAGGTAAACTACAGGCCAATATCTCTGATGAATAGTGATGCAAAAATCCTCAACAAAATACTAGCAAACCGAATTCAACAATACATGAAAAATATCATTCATTATGACCAAGTGGGATTTATCTTTGGGATGCAAATGTGGATCAACATATGCAAATCAATCAATGTGATACATTATATAAACAGAATAAAGGATAAAACCCATATGATAAAAATCATTTCAATTGGTGCTGATAAAAGCATTTGATAAAATTCAACATCCCTTCATGATAAAACCTGTTAAAAAACTGGGGCTAGAAGGAATATACTTCAACATAATAAAAGCCTACAACAGACCCACAGCTAGTATCACAATGGATGGAGAAACACTGGAAATCTTTCCCCTAAGATTTGGAGCATGACAAAGATGTCCAATGCCACCACTGTTATTTCAACACAGTATGGGAAGTCCTAGCTAGAGCAATGAGACAAGAGAAATAAATAAACAGCATCCAAATTGGAAAGGAAGAAGTTAAATTGTCCTTGTTTGCAGGTGATATAATCTTATATTTGTAAAAACCTAAAGACACCACCAAAAAACTATTAGAACTGATAAACAAATTCAGTAAAGTTGCAGGATACAAGATCAACATACAAAAATCAGTAGCATTTCTATATGCCAACCGTGAACAATCTGAAAAAAATTTAAACTGTAAACTCATTTACAGTCACTACAAATATAATTACATATCTAGGAATTAACCAAAGAAGTGAAAAATCTCTCTATAATGAAAACTATAAAACACTGATGAAGGAAATTGAAGAGGACACCAAAATGAAAAAATATTCTGTGTTCATGGATTGGACTAATCAATATTCAATATTGTTAAGATGTCTGTACTACCCAAAGCAATCTACAAATTTAATGCAATTGCCATCAAAATACCAATGACATTCTTCACAGACACAGAAAAACAATCCTAAACTTCATATGGAACTACAAAAGACCCTGAATAGCTAAGGCTATTCTAAGCAAAAAGAACAAAACTGGAGGAATCACATTACCTGACTTCGAATTATACTACAGAGCTATAGTAATCAAAACAGTATGGTACGGGCATAAAACAGACACATAGACCAATGAAACAGAATAGAGAACCCAGAAACAAATCAACACACTTACAGAAAACCCATTTTCCACAAAGTTGCCAAGAATATACACTGGGGAAAGACAGCCTTTTCAATAAATGATACCAGAAAAACAGGACATCCATGTGCAGAAAAATGCATCTAGATATCTGTCTCTTACCATATACAAAAATAAAATCAAAATTAATTAAAGGCTTAAATAAAAGACCTTGAACTATGCAACTACTACAAGAAAACACTGGGGAAAATCTCCAACACATTGGATGGGCAAAAATTTCTTGAACAACACCCCACAAGCACAGGCAACCAAAGCAAACATGGACTAGCGGGATCACATCAAGTTTAAAAGCTTCTGTGCAGCAAAGAAAACAATCAACAAAGTGGAGAGACAAACCACAGAATGAGAGAAAATATTTGCAAACTACTCATCTAACAAGGGGTTAATAACCAGACTATATAAGGAGCTCAAAGAACTCTATAGGAAAAAAGTGTAATATTCTGATTAAAAAAAATAAGCAAAACATTTGAATACACATTTCTCAAAAGAAGACATGCAAATGGCAAACAGGCATATGAAAAGATGCTCAACATCATTGATCATCAGAGAAATGCAAGTCAAAAGTACAATGAGATATCATCTCACCCCATTTAAAATGGCTTATATCCAAAAGAGAGGCAATAACAAATGCTGCTGAGGATGTGGAGAAAAGTGAAGCCTTGTACACTGTTGGTGGGAATGTAAATTAGGACAGCCACTATGGAGAACAGTTCAGAGGTTCCTTGAGAAACTAAAAATAGAGCTACCATGTGATCCAGCAATCCCACTGCTGATTATATACCCAAAAGAAAGGAAATCAGGGCCAGGCGTGGGGGCTCACACATGTAATTCAAGCACTGTGGGAGGCTGAGGTGGGCAGATGATGAGATCAGGAGTTCGAGACCAGCCTGGCCAACATGGTGAAACCCCGTCTCTACTAAAGATAGAAAAAATTAGCCAGGCATGGTGGCGCAAGCCTGTAATCCCAGCTACTCAGGAGGCTGAGACAAGAGAATCACTTGAACTCAGGAGGCAGACGTTGCAGTGAGCTGAGATCACACCATTGCACTCCAGCCTGGGCGACAAGGTGAAACTCTGTCTCAAAAAAAAAAAAAAAAAAAAAAAAGAGGAAAAAAAAAGAAAAAAGAAAGGAAATCAGGATATCAAAGAGATATGCACATTCCTGTTTGTTGCAGCACTGTTCACAATAGCTAAGATTTGGAAGCAACCTAAGTGTCCATCAACAGATGAATAGATGAAGAAAATGTGCTTCATACAAAATTGAAGAAATGATGAAGAAAATGTGGTTCTACAAAATTGAAGATGTGGTTCTACAAAATTGAGGAAAGCCTATGTGACACATGGGATGCCAAAAAGCAATCAAAAGAGATTTAGACATCCAGATATCTGATTCCCCTAATGGAAGCAACCCAAAAAGGTCTTCAAGGCACATTATAGTAAAACTGTCAGAAGTCAAAGACAGATAATTCTAAAGACAGTAAGACAGTAGTCACATATAAAGGAACTCCATCAGACTAAAAGTGGATTTGTCAGCAGAAACCTTGTAGGTCAGGAGAGAATGGATGATATATTCAATGTGCCAAAAAACAAAAAATTAAAATTAAAAAAACTATTAGCCAAGAATATGATCCCCGGCAAAACTATCCTGCAAAAATAAAGGAGAAAAAAAATATTTCCCAGACAAGCAAAACAGAGGGAACTCATCACCACTAGATCAGCTCTACAAGAAATGCTTAAGGGAATCCTATATCTGGAAGTGAAAGGATGATATCTACCATCATGAAAACACACAAAAAATATAAAGTCACTGGTAGAACAAACACCCATATGAAAAAGAGAAAGGACTCAACCATTACCGCTATAGAAAACCACCAACCTGCAATGATAAACAGTAAGAGAGAAACAAAGGAACAAAGCACATACAAAACAACTAGAAAATAATGAACAAAATCACAGGAACAAGTTCTCCCATATCAATAATGTTGAATGTAAATAAAAATTCCACTTAAAAGATATAAACTGGCTTAAAAATTTTTTTTAAATGACTGAACTACATGCTGCCTACAAGAAACTTAATTTACCTATAAAACACATATAGATTTAGAGATGGAAAAAGTTAATCCACATTAATGAAACTCAAAAGTGAGCAGTAGTAGTTATAATTATATCAGATAAAACAGACTTTAAGTTAAAAACCGTGAAAAGAGGCAAATAAGGTCATTATATAATGATAAAGAAATTAATTCAGCTGGGTGTGATGGCTCACACCTGTAATCCCAGCACTTTGGGAGGCTGAGGCTGGTGGATCACCTGAGGTCGGGAGTTTGAGACCAGCCTGACCAACATGGAGAAACCCCATCTCTACTAAAAATACAAAATTAGCAGGGTGTGGTGGCACATGCCTGTAATCCCAGCTACTTGGGAAGCAGAGGCAGGAGAATTGCTTAAAACCAGGAGGCGGAGGTTGCAGTGAGCCAAGATTGTCCCATTGCACTCCTGCCTTGGCAACAATAGAGAAACCCCATTTCAAAAAAAAAAAAAAAAAGAAAAGAAATTAATTCAACAGAAGGATATAATAATTCTAAATATATATGCACCCAACACCAGAGCACCCAGATTCATATAGTTAATGTTATCAGATCTAAAGGGAAAGACTTCAATACAATAATAGTTGGGGACTTTAAGACCCCACTTTCAGCATTAGACAGATGATCTAGACAAAGAATCAACATAGAAACATTGTGTTTAAATGGCACTTTAGGCCAAATGAACCTAACAGATATTTACAGAACATTTTATCCGTAAGCTCCTGAATACAGATTCTTCTCATCAGCACGTGGAACATTCTCTAGGATAGAACATATGTTATGCCACAAAACTAGTCTGAACACATTTTAAACAATTAAAATAATATCAAATATCTTTTCAGACCACAATGGAATAAAATGAGAAATCAATAACAGAAGAACTTTGAAAACTTTAAAATATGTAAATTAAACAACATAGTCCTGAATGACCACTGGGTCAGTGAAGAAATTAAGAAGGAAATTTTAAAAACATTCTTGAACAAATGAAAATGAAGACACAACATGCCAAAACCTATGGGATACATCAAAAGCAGTGCCAACAGGGAAGTTTATAGTAATACATGCCTATATTAAAAAAAAAGAGAAAGATTTCAAATAAACAACCTAACAATGCACCTCAAGGAACTAGAAAAGCAAGAAAAAACCAAACACAAAATTAGTACAAGGAAAGAAATAATAAAGATCAGAGTAAAACTAAACAAAATTGAGACTAAAAAACATACAAAGTATCAATGAAATGAAAAGTTGTTTTGTGAAAAGACAAAAAGAAAATCAATAGACTGCTAGCTACAACCACCATGAAAAAAGGCGGGAAGACCCAAATACACAAAATCAGAAACAAAAAAGGATACATTACAACAGATACCACAGAAATACAAAAGGTCATCAAAGACTACCATGAACAGCTAGATGCTAACAAACTGGAAAACCCAGAGGAAATGGATAAATTCTATTTATGGACATATAGAACCTATCAAGATTGAATCAGAAAGAAAGAGAAAACCTGAACAAATCAATAAGAAGTAACAAGATTAAATCAGTAATAGAGTCTCCCAACAAAGTGAAGCCCAGGACAAAATGCCTTTATTGCTGAATTCTATCAAACTTATGAAGAATATCTAAGACTAATTCTCAAAACTATTCCACAAAATTGAAGAGGAAGGAATTCCTCCTAATTTATTCCATAAATTGGTAAATGCACACAGAAATGATCAATGTTCAAGTGATAGATATTTTTAAAACTGACTTAATTCTTACACATTGTTTGCATGTAACAAAATATCACATATACTACATAAATATGTATGAATATATGTATTAACAAAAATTACACAACAAAGACAAATTTGAAATCCTTATTCTGTATGCATCAATGTATGTATGTGTGTGTGTGTGTTATTTTTCTTTTTCAAAAATCTGGAACCAGTGTTTTGGTTTTTTAATTCTCAAAGATGTAGCAAAAAGTTTAAGAATTGTCTTATTACTGGCTGGGCACAGGGGCTCAGGCCTGTAATCCCAGCACTTTGGAAGGACGAGGGAGGCAGACTGCCTGAACTCAGTAGTTCACAACCAGCCTGGGCAACATGGTGCAACCCCGTCTCTACTAAAATACAAAAAATTATCCAGGCATGCCGGCATGCACCTGTAGTCCCAGCTACTCGGGAGGCTGAGGCAGGAGAATTGCTTGAACTTGGGAGGTGGAGGTTGCAGTGAGCCGAGACCATGCCACTGCACTCCAGCCTGGGCAACAGAGTGAGAATCCATCTCAAAAAAATTTAAAAAATAAAAAAAAGAATTGTCTTATTATCTTTTGCTCTTAATACAATTTGTTATGTGGGGAGGAGATTTTGAGAACAGGCTTAAGCCTTCCAAGGCCCAGTAGAACACACAGTTAAATATCAGTAACTAACATTTGTACTTTAATCATGACCATAACAATTTAAGACACATTTTTATTAGCTACCTCTACTATAAATCTCACCGGAAAAGAATCTGAGTTTTGGTACCACTTATGAACAAAAATGTTTTCTTTTGGCTTTAACATTGCAACACACAGAATAGAAGTATTGTGTGTGCCATGCAACACACAGAATAGAAGTATTGTGTGTGCCATGAGACTTTTTTTTTTTTTGAGACAGAGTCTCACTCTCTTGCCCAGGCTGGAATGCAGTGGCGTGATCTTGGCTCACTGCAAGCTCTGCCTCCCGGGTTCACATCATTCTCCTGCCTCAGCCTCCCGAGTAGCTGAGACTACAGGCGCCCACGACCACACCTGGCTAATTTTTTGCTATTTTTAGTGGAGACGGGGTTTCACCATGTTAGCCAGGATGGTCTCGATCTCCTGACCTCATGATCCACCTGCCTCAGCCTCCCAAAGTGCTGGGATTACAGGTGTAAGCCACCGCGCCTGGCCGAGACTTTTTAGATATATATCAGATTAGCATAATAATTAATTTCAAAGGAGAAAATTGGGGGAAAGTATGCATAAAAAACTCTGACCTAGAATACATCTCGTCAACTCAAAAAATATCTATTTTCAAGGTTTTGTGACAAGTTTTCTGGAGTAGAGAAGAAAACCTAGGCAATACCATTCAGGACATAGGCATGGGCAAGGACTTCATGACTGAAACACCAAAAGCAATGGCAACAAAAGCCAACATTGACAAATGGGATCTAATTAAACTAAACAGCTCCTGCACAGCAAAAGAAACTTATAATCAGAGTGAACAGGCAACCTACAGAATGGCAGAAAATTTTTATAATCTATCCATCTGACAAATGGCTAATATCCAGAATCTACAAAGAACTTAAACAAATTTACAGGAAAAAAACAACCCTATCAAAAAGTGGGCGAAGGATATGAACAGACACTTCTCAAAAGAAGACATTTATGTGGCCAACAAACATATGAAAAAAAGCTCATCATCACTGGTCATTAGAGAAATGCAAATGAAAACCACAGTGAGATACAATCTCATGCCAGTTAGAATGGCAATCATTAAAAAGTCAGGCAACAACAGATGCTGGAGAGGACGTGGAGAAATAGGAGCAGCTTTTACACTGTTGGTGGGGGTGTAAATTACTTCAACCATTGTGGAAGACAGTGTGGTGATTCCTCAAGGATCTAGAACCAGAAATACCATTTGACTCAGCAATCCCATTACTGGGTATATACCCAAAGGATTATAAATCATTCTACTATAAAGACACATGCACATGTATGTTTATTGCCACACTGTTCACAATAGCAAAGACTTGGAACCAACCCAAATACCCATCAATGATAGACTGGATAAAGAAAATGTGGCACATATATACCATGGAATACTATGCAGCCATAAAAAAGGATGAGTTCATGTGATTTGCAGGGACATGGATGAAGCTGGAAACCATCATTCTCAGCAAATTAACATAGAAATAGAAAACCAAACACCACATGTTCTCACTCATAAGTGGGAGCTGAACAATGAGAAAACATAGACACAGGGAGCACTGGGGCCTGTCAAGGGGTGGGGACCTATGGGAGGTATAGCATTAGGAGAAATACCTAATGTAGATGATGGGTTGATGGGTGCAGCAAACCATGTGGTACATGTATACCTATGTAACAAACCTGCATGTTTTGCACATGTATCCCAGAACTTAAAGAAAGTATAATATAAAGAAAATTATTTTAACAAACTTACTTGAAATGTTTGCAAAACTGCTTGGAAAAGCTAAGCTAAAATTTCTTAAGAAAGAAGCTGGAAAAAAAAGAGCAGTAGCAAGACTGAAGAAATAAAAACTTCTGCTCAGAGTCAAGTATGAAGTGGCATTAAAGAACAAAAGCTCTGAAGTTGAACAAACTAGAGTTTTAATTCTAGGTCCATCCTTTGGTTTCTGTATTATTTAATCTTTGTTCTTCAGTTTTCTTGTTGTTAAATGGATAAAATATGTATTAATACTGGTCAGGATTTCACATATTTAAATGAAAAGTACTTTACATAGCATATTGCATATAATAAACTGGCAGTAAATGGTGATGATCTTGGTGATGATGATGATACTATTTCGGAGAAAGCAAGGCAAGAATAGGGCAGTGTTTTCTCCAACTGACTCATCAATTCTCAGTCTTCACCCTCTACCTATTACGATAGAACTCCAGGGAGTGGAACCTAGAAATGTACATTTTTTTTTAAAAGGTCCTGGTGACTGTGTTAATAGGCTAATTTTGAGGCCATTAGAATTTTGTATAGGTTGCTGGCGTTCTACTGACTTTTGTGATGTGAAAGACACCACAACTGCAAAATGTCTCAAAGTAACCAAGTAAAGAACTTGTGGGTGAATCATTACCTGAGCTCCTTCTTTACACCTGTGTGCATCTCTAGACCTGGTGTAGAGGTTACCCTCCAGCTATACACAAAGCTAGTATGCTAATTTAAATAATCTCTTTAGTGAAAAAATAGACAGGTGTTAACATTCTCTGTAAGACTTATAAACACATTGAAAAAGCGAATAACTAAGCCTATGTTGATTCATAAACAATATGTCTAACCTCTGAAAATATCACCAGGCTATGAGCGGACTGAGACTCAGTGCAACCTGAGGCACAACTTGCAAACTCCACTTACCTTCGTGTTCCCATTAGTGGTTCTCTAATCCTATTCTGGAGAGCTATATGCCACCAAGAGGCCACAATCCTAATCCTGACTCTGCAGTTTTCTGGCAGACAAGGTGGATTCATGGACACTTCCCTGCATCCTTAATTGGATAAGACTCAGCTCTGGGGTGTCAATGAATGTGAATTGGATTGTAAAGTAGAGAAAACAAATGAAATTGCTTCACTTGTAAGAAATGGCAGTGAAGATTCCTGAAGCTCTTCCCAAGTCCATGTAATGTATTTATTTTAGGTACTTTTGTAATACTTGTATTCTCTGGACTCAATGTTGGTCACACGTTCTGAGATGTATTCTATAAAGGAGCATCACCTCCTTTGAAAGACTCCAGATTACCATTCAGAGCAAGACATTGCATTATATGATGCACAATTTTAAAAAGTCAATTGATCTCTGGGAGACTGACAGAGGGAAATAGACTATAACCCCTTAGCAGGACTTTTTGGGGCACAGCAATGACAAGACAATAACAATAATAACAATAATAATAATAATGTAACCTTATGCAAAACTTTATAATTTATAAAAAGCATTGCAGAGGCCGGGTGCAGTGGTTCACACCTGTAATCCCAGCACTTTGGGAGGCCAAGGCAGGTGGATCACAACAAGGTCAGGAGTTTGAGACTAGCCTGGCCGGCATAGTGAAACCCTGTTTCTACTAAAAATACAAAAAATTAGCCAGGCTTGGTGGTGGGTGCCTGTAATCCCAGCTACTCGGGAAGCTGAGGCAGGAGAATCACGTGGACCTGGGAGGCACAGGTTGCAGTGAGCTGAGATGGTGCCATTGCACTATAGCCTGGTGACAGTGCAAGACTCCAACTCAAAAAAAAAAAAATTGCAAATGTGGATTTACAGTTCGAGTTTTGAGAAACCTTATTTTATTTAGTTTGATATCTATAATCAAAAATAAAACAAAAAGGACAACATTAAGAAATTACTTACCTAAATATACAGATATCAACTATTGAAGTTAGATTTTGATTTCCAATTCTCAATTCACTTCATGATTTTAAGTCTAATATTTTCACTGTAAAGGTCATTTGATCACAATTTATATGTAGTAGGGAAATATTAGCTGACTGAAACCTTTTGAAGTTGTTCCAAAATCAAATGTGATAGTTCCGTTACAGAAGGTTTTACTGAATTGGGTGGAGGTGCTAATTAATTGAGGCCTGAAGTAGGAGGGAACAGCTTATTACAGATCTTAATGTGTCCACACAGAGGTATTATTTATTGGTTTCAACAATCCTTTCTCAAGGTGTAGTTAGAAAAAATAAGCTACTATATTTAACACAAAGATGATGTTGCAAAGTCTCTTTCATGAGGAAGAAGAGCAAGTGGAAAGCTTTATATGAAATCTTCAACCATAATTAGAGAGGTAATAATAAAATTCTCACTGAATACATAGGAGGAGATACCAGTTCAATAATAATTACATAGTGTGTCTTAGTAACACTCTACAATCACTAATTAAATAATCCAAATATCTTTCCTATGAAGTAGGGTGAGTATTGTCAATCTTGTTTTGTCAATGAGAAAATAAAATGCAGAGTGGTTCCATGACCTGCCCAAAGTCATACAAGTGAGTTATGGCAAATTGAGATTAGAATCCACAGCTCTGATTCTTTTATTCCTAGAAATCATTAATCTTCTCTATCCCAGTTTTTGGGCTAAAATATTGTTTTTTATGTTTCACAATTATTATTATTTCTGATTAAGTGTTTTTTTAAAAAAAATGCCACCCCATTGTATGTAGAGCTGATTTCTTCTGTCTAATTTAAGAACTTGCTAGACATTCACTAGACTGTCATGATTCTATGGCTATGCATCTATTTTCTGATAGGTATGGAGGGGAATAAAGGAGATGACAGGAGAGGTGTAGAGAAAATAATGAGATTTACATTATAAGATATGCATACATATACAAATACATGGGTATGTTTGCACACATCTTAGATTGTAAAAACACACATACCTACATGTGTATATTCTATGTGACCCATAAAGTCTCTCAGAATGTACTAATGACTGTTTTGAACTGAAATTACTGGGGAATGAAATAAAGCCACCCAAAAATATTTGTGGAAGTAAATTAGACAAGAGCTACCAGCTATCTTAGCCTGAACCAGATATAATAGAAAAACTATTTTGGTTCTGGTTCCATTGTTGACATACTCCTTTAACCCCATTATCTTTAGGATGATATCTAACTAGAGAAGTAAATATTGTACTAGTGGATTCTCATGGTGCTGATAAAGACATACCTGAGACTGGGTAATTTATAAAGAAAAAGAAGTTTAATGGACTCACAATTCCACATGGCTGGGAAGGCCTCACAACCATGGCAGAAGGTGAAAGGCACATCTTACATGGAGGCAGACAAGAGTGAATGAATGCCAAGTGAAAGAGGCTTCCCCTTATAAAACTGTCAGATCTCTTGAGACTTATTCACTACCACAAGAACAGTATGGAGAAAACTACCCCCATGATTCAATTATGTCTCACTGGGTACCTCCTACAACACGTGGGAATTATGGGAAATAAAATTCAAAATGAGATTTGGGTGGGAACAAAGCCAAACCATATCATTCTGCCCCTGGCCCTCCCAAATCTCATGTCCTCACATTTCAAAACCAATCATGCCTTCCCAACAGTCTCCCAAATTCTTAACTCATTTCAGCATTAACTCAAAAGTCCACAGTCCAAAGTCTCATCTGAGACAAGGCAAGTCCCTTCCGCCTGTGAGCCTGTAAAATCAAAAGTAATTTAGCTACTTCTTAGACGCAATGGGGGACAGGAATGGATTCTCCATTCCAAATGGGAGAAATTGGCCAAAATGAAGGGGCTAAAGGCCCCACGCAAGTCCAAAATCCATCAGGGAAGTCAAATCATAAAGCTCCAAAATGATCTCCTTTGATTCCATGTCTCATATCCAAGTCATGCTGATGCAAGAGGTGGGCTCCCATGGTCTTGGGCAGTTCCACCCCTGTGGCTTTGGAGGGTACAGCCTCCCTCCTGGCTGTTTTCATGGGCTGATGTTGAGTGTCTGTGGCTTTTCCATGTGCACAGTGCAAGCTGTTGGTGAATCTACCATTCTGGGATCTGGAGGATGGTTGTCCTCTTCTCAGAGCTTTACTAGGCAGTGCCCCAGTGGGGAATCTCTGTGGGGGCTCCCACCCCACATTTCCCTTTCACACTGCCCTAGCAGAGGTTCTCCATGAGGGCCCCACCCCTGCAGCAAACTTCTGCCTGGGCATCCAGGCATTTCCATATGTCCTCTGAAATCTAGGCAGACCTTTCCAAACCTCAATTCTGGACTTCTGTGCATCCACAGGGTCAACATCATGTGGAAGCTGCCAAGCCTTGGGGCTTGCACCCTCTGAAGCCACAGCCTGAGCTATACCCTGACCCATTTTAGCCATGGCTAGATTGCTGGGATGCAGGGCACCAAGTGGCTAGGCTGCACATAGCAGGAGTCCCTGGGCCTGGCCCATGAAACCATGTTTCCCTCCTATGCCTCTGGGCCATGATGGGAAGGGCTGCTGTGAAGACCTCTGACATGCCCTGGAGACATTTTCCCCATTGTCTTGGTGATTAACATTTGGTCTCTCGTTACTTATGCAAACTTCTGCAGCCGGCTTGAATTTCTCCTCAGAAAATGAATTTTTCTTTTCTATCTCATTGTCAGGCTGCCAATTTTCTGAACTTTTATGCTGTTTCCCTTTTAAAACTGAATGCTTTAAACAGCACCTAAGTGACCTCTTGAATGCTCTGCTGCTTAGAAATTTCTTCTGCCAGATACTTTAAATCATCTCCCTCAAGTTCAAAGTTCCACAAAGTTCTAGGGCAGGGTCAAAATGCCACCAGTCTCTTTGCTAAAACACAGCAAGAGTCACCTTTACTTCAGTTCCCAACAAGTTTCTCATCTTCATCTGAGACCACCTTAGCCTGGATTTCATTGTCTACAGTGTTATCAGCATTTTAGTCAAAGCAAGTCAAAAAGTCTCTAGGAAGTTACAAACTTCCCCACATTTTCCTATCTTCTTCTGAGCCCTCCAAACTGTTCCAGCCTCTGTCTGTTACCCAGTTCCAAAGTCATTTCTATGTTTTTGAGTATTTTTACAGCAGTGCCCCACTACCCAGTACCAATTCACTGTATTAGTTTGTTCTCATGCTGCTGATAAAGACATGCCCGAGACTGAGTAATTTACAAAGAAAAAAAGGTTTAATGGACTCACAGTTTCAGGTGGCTGGGAAGGCCTCACAATCATGGTGGAAGGTGAAAGACATGTCTTACATGGAGTCAGACAAGAGAGAATGAGAACCAAGTGAAAGAGGTTTCCCCTTATAAAACCATCAGATCTCGTGAGGCTTATTCACTACCATGAGAACAGGATGGGGGAAACCACCCTCCATGATTCAATTATCTCCCACTGGGTCCCTCTCACAACACATGGGAATTATGGGAGCTACAATTCAAGATGAGATTTGGGTGGGGACATAGCCAAAGAGCACTGGTTTCAGAGTCCAAGAACTGCTGTTTAAGGCTCAGCTTCACTGTGTAAGATTGGAGAGCCTCCTTAACCATTCATTTTCCTCAAATGTAGCATTAAGTAGGTTAAGGATCACAACAAGATATGTCCTGCTAAAAATCTGCACATAGGCTGTTTACTGATACATAACATAGTTGGCACTGGGGGCCCTGTTGAATTACTGGGCCCCTTCCTTCAACCCAATTCCCCTACTCCTTCATCCATCATGAAGCTTCCCTCTTATTACATCATGTGGTCTGAGGATGCTATAGGATAATGCACAGGAATTCTTCATAAACCTAAGTGGGGCTGCAGGGGATAGGATGTAAATATTTGTTGTTAGCAAAGGTGAAGTGGTATAAAGTCAAAACCAGAAAGGGGTGCAAAATTATGCCCATGATAGCCAATAAGAAACTTTTATGCAACCACTGAAATTCTTGTGGCTTCTAAGATGAAGCATATATTTTGAGTAAACTTCAATGTAATTTAGTTGTAATATATTAAGCCCCTAGTAGACATGTGCATTTTCCACATGCAGGACACAAATTATTTTACTGAGTTTTTAAAAATCCATTATACCTTGTTTAAAACCTCTAGCAATAAGGGCAAGATATGTTTTGAGTGCTCATCTATAACCACAAAATTTCCTCTCAGAAAACTTAACTTCTGCCTTCAATTATCAGAGTCAGTGGAGAAAGTTTAACTTTACATGGCATTTCCTTTCCTTTTATTTTTCAAATTATGAGAGATTTTAAACTTATAGTAAAGTAATAATAATAGCAAATACTCATACCAGTATCTGTGTGCCAGGTTTTGTCCTAGGCACTTTACATGTATCAAGCCATTGCATTTTTACAATAACCATTTTAATACACCAATTTTCCTCATTTTACAGGTGAGAAAAGTGAAGCCTAAAGTTACACAGCTAGTAAGTGGCAGAACTGGAATTTGAATGCGGCTTGTTTGGCTCTAGTTTGGGTTCTTTTTTTTTTTGAGACAGAGTCTCACTCTGTCACCCAGGCTGGAGTGCAGTGGCATGATCTCAGCTCACTGCAAGCTCCGCCTCCTGGGTTCATGCCATTCTCCTGCCTCAGTCTCCCAAGTAGCTGGGACTACAGGCGCCTGCCACCACGCCCGGCTAATTTTTTTATTTTTTATTTTTAGTAGAGACAGGGTTTCACTGTGTTAGCCAGGGTGGTCTCGATCTCCTGACCTTGTGACCCGCCCACCTCGGCCTCCCAAAGTGCTGGGATTACAGGCATGAGCCACCACGCCTGGCTTAGTTTGGGTTCTTAAGTGTTTCATGATTCCACCACTTTGTACAAAGATAAAATAACCCTCCAAATCTGGTAAATGTTAACATTTGGTATATTAGAAGCAGATTTCTTTCTTTCTTTCTTTCCTTTTTTTTTTTTTTTTTGACACGAAGTCTCACTCTGTTACCCAGACTGGAGTGTGGCGGCACAATGAAACCTTTGCCTCCCGGGTTCAAGAGATTCTCCTGCCTGAGCCTCCCGAGTAGCTGGGATTACAGGTATGAGCCACCACACCTGGCTAATTTTTGCATTTTTAGTAGAGACCAGGTTTCACCATGTTGACCAGGCTGGTGTTGAACATCTGACCTCAGGTGATCCACCTGCCTTGGTCTCCCAAGGTGCTGAGATTACAGGCATGAGCCACCGCGCTCAGCCCAGATTCCTTTCTTCTTTGGATGGTGGCAAGATTATAAACAGAACAGAGCCAGTTGACCCATACTTTGTGCCCCTTCCTGAACCCATTGTTCTTAATAGAGCATTTCCAATGAGCCAGCATTAGTCAGGAAACCATTAGTTTCTCATCAGTGGCACAGTGTGTCTTTGAAAATTCATGCCTGAAAATCCTACAAGTATATGAGAAAATATGATTTTTAAAAGTTGAATTATGGGTCAGATATTTTAAAATGCTAACATGTTGCAAATTTTGCTAAAAAATGTATTCTTCATCAGACATTTACCTTTAACTGAAGGAAAAAATATGGACAGTACTGTATGGGATTCATAACCAATACTGCCTGATTTTTTTCATAATACATCATCATAATAAACTCCTTGATTCAGTTATCTTCTTTCAAGGTACGAATTCTCTTATGGGCTTTGCAGTGGTATTCAATAGCCAGTGTATTATTGTAAGTGTTTTTGTATAATTCCAATAGTGGATTTAAGAGTTAAGATTTAAGAATTTCCATAATACCTCACTGTTCTGTATAGCAAATGGTTTTCTTGCATCAGAAAAAAATCCACATTAACCTTTAAAATAAGATTTTTAAGATTTGTTGAAGCCCTTAATTTACTATCTTTCCTAGTTCTTTTAAAACTCTTGTCAAAATAATTTTAGCATGCTGCCAAGCTAAAGCAAAGTTTTATTGGGCTGTTTAGCAGTTTGTTTACTTACTTACTTACTTACTTACTTACTTACTTACTTACTTACTTATTTTTTGAAGTGAAATTTCACTGTTGTTGCCCAGGCTGGAGTGCAATGGCGTGATCTCGGCTCACTGCAACCTCTGCCTCCCAGGTTCAAGTGATTCTCCTGCCTCAGCCTCCCAAGTAGCTGGGATTACAGGCGCCCAGCTAATTTTTTGTATTTTTCGTAGAGATGGGGGTTTCACCATGTTGGCCAGGCTGGTCTCAAACTCCTGACCCCAAGTGATCTACCCGCCTCGGCCTCCCAAAGTACTGGAATTACAGGAGTGAGCCACTGCACCCGGCCAGGTTAACAGTTAGTTTAATACCTACAATTCAGTGACTTCTGAATGTGAAATAAAAACTTACTTTTGCAACACATAGATTCAAGCAGCATCTTAATCACATATATTATCAAATTATTCAACAAATATTTATCAAGCTTCAATTCCAGGCACTTTTCTATATATAGGGATACCGCCGTGAACAAAACCTGCCCTGTTGAGCTTACATTCTAGTGGGGGTAGGAGGGTTGCATTTTATAGGATTTTTCTGTCATCAGGAGGGTGGTCAGCTCTGTCTTTGGTGTCCATTAATAAAATGAGTTAGTTTCTGCTATGGTTTGAATGTTCATGTTCCTCTAAAATTGCTGCGTTAAAACCTAATCAGCCAAGTGATGGTATTAAAAGATGAGGGTCTTTCGGAGGTGATTAAATCATGAGAGCAGAGACCTCATGGATGGGATTAATGCCCTTAAGAAGGAGGCTTGAGGGAACTTGTTAGACCGTTTTGACCTTCTACCAGAAAAGGAGGAGCAGTTTATTTTGCAGCTTCTTGTATGACAGAAAGACTAATGTGAGGAAGTTTTGAAACAGGTAAATGCTGCCAACCATATTTTTAAACAGTACAAAGTTTAGGCAGGAGTTTTTAATCTGCTCTCTCTGGCTGGACTTCACGGATCAGTAAAACCTTTTACATTATAAAGAAAATTTTATGTACATCTTCATTCCTCTCTTTGATCAGATTATTAAGGGAGTTCAGTCTTTCTTAACTAAGGCCATTGTTGCTATTTTGGGTGGAATCATGCTTTTTTGTGAGGGGCTGTCCCAGATTTTGCAAGACATATAGCATCATTGGAAGTCTGTACAATATTTTAAATGCAAGTAGTAACCTCTAGTCTTTGTGACAACCCCAAACAACCCATATATTCGCAAATGCCGCCCAGGGGCGCCTGGATTGAAAAATCGCTGAACGTTACGTATTCCCAAAGAAGACTGAGGAGAGCACTGTTTTCTAAAGCTTTGACTGCCACAGTGTTGAAAGATTTTTTTCTTGCTTATGAGATGATCTACTTACAGAGAATAGATGGATGGGACTGGAAACCTCAATTAGGTGGATTAACAGGTATTGTGGGAGTACCTGAGAAATAGAAGTGTAGAAAGAAGGCATCAAAATGAGGTATCTGACTTTAAGTTCAGATGTTCAAGCAGTTCTAGATGATGACAAAGTTCAACTGTGGCCATGGAAGTGAATGGCTCATGTGGGTGGAGATGAATATCATTAGAGATGAAAAGGTCAAGGCATAAAACGACCCATGTAGTTAGATGAGTTATTCACATGTGGATTGAAAAGACTCAGAATAGTGGCAGGGCTTGAAATGAAAGAGAATTGTGCTAGGTAATAGAACTTTAAAACGTGAAGCTGACATCTGACATTTGAAAAGCTGTTCAACATCTCCAATAATCACACAAATACAAAGTAAAGAATAATTGGGTTCTATTTTTTTTGCCAGTTTGATAAACTTAAAAGATTGATAATATATATTACCTACTGGGGACAAAGGAGACAAATTGGCACTCATGCATTACTGTAGGAAATGCTACGATCTTTTTGGAAGAAGATCTGGCAATGTATATTAATTCTTCCATTCCACTCTTGAGAAGCTATTCTGCAGAAATACACTTAGCAGCATGGAAGCCACGTAGACAAAGCTGTCTATCGCAGTCTTGATAGCAGTATTACAAAAAAACTGGAAACAATTAAGATACCGATCAACAGTGGAACAGTGCACCACCTTATAAAGTAGTAGGCACTTACAAAAAGAACAAGTTAGAAACAAATGTTTTAAAAGAAAATATCTATAATATATTAGATAAAATGTTTTTAAGTTACAGAATTATGTGGAGTAAACAGAAGTAAATAAATTCTATACATGTTGGTATGAAAATAGAAAAAGTGCCAGATGCAGTGGCTCACGCCTGTAATCCCAGCACTTTGGGAAGCTGAAGTGGGTGGATCATGAGGTCAGGAGTTTGACACCAACCTGGCCAACGTGGCAAATCCCCGTCTCTACTGAAAAAAAAAAATACAAAAATTAGCCAGGGGTGGTGGCGGGTGCCTGTAATCCCAGCTACTCAGGAGGCTGAGGCAGGAGAATCGCTTGAACCTGGGAAGCGGAGATTGCAGTGAGCCGAGATCGTGTCATTGCACTCCAGCCTGGGTGACAAGAGCACGACTCTGTCTCAAAAAAAAACAAAAACAAAAACAAAAAAAGAAAATAGAGAAAGGTATGAATGCTTACCAATTTATTCACATGGCATATAAGATTGAAGAGAAGAGAGATTATGAGTGCTTTCCTTATACATCTTGACTTTTTTAAAACCTGTTTTAAATATGCTTATTACTTTTACCATTGAAAATAAAACTATCATAATGAGCAAAACAATCCATTTCCTCAAAAGAGATTCATTTTTTTCTGTAAAGGGATAATAGAAGTATACAAATAAATTAAAAGGCAGAACAATTGATGAGCCCTGAAAGAGATGAATGAATTAATAGTTTCTTGAGAACATAATCTAAATTAAGAGCTCTTAGGACTTTTCTCATACCTCACAATATTTCTAAGGAAAAAAACAACCTATTCACATTTTCATTCAGATGTTCATGTAGAGGTTTTTCTATAGTGAGATCTACCTTGTGGAAAATTTTCTTCTTTAACCCCTGTGTTAGGGGTATATTCAAATATTTTTTAAAAATTACTTTAGAATGTCATAATCTCTAGTTTTGTAACAATTGTAAAACAGTCTTTAGAAATTAATAGGCACTCCCTAACACGTCTTGTTTCATCGTCCAAGAAGTATCCCTAAAACTATTCACAGCATCTTTAGGTACTGCCTGGAACCAGTGTAGTGTTTTACCAAACACAGCCCATCTCTAGCCTTTGGCTATAGATACAGTATTACATGTTATGAAAATAGATAAAGAAAAATAAGAAACAGAAGGCGTATGATAGGAATGAATCTCAACGAAAGTGATAAAAAATTGGTGCATGTGAATAGTGTGCTTTGCAGAACCTGGGGTATAGAAACAACTCCTTCATCACAAATTGTGATAGTATTACTGTTTTTTTTTCTCCACCCATTTTAAGCTAATGCATTATGTTAGCAGCTATGAACCTGGGAGTCATCAGTGAACTCCACCCCTTACTTCCAGTTTCACAAGAACCATAAGTAGGTGGATAGGTGTGCAGTAGGGTGGTGGCCCTGTCACATCCATCATGCCCCTGCCAGTCCAGTTGTTGAGCCAACAGGAGGCTGCAATGCTGTAAGGAATAAAGGACAACTTCTGCCCAACTTATTATCTTCAGTTAAACACAATTTGAAACTTCACTTGTTACATGATATGGTAAGAGCATTGACTTTGGAATCAAATCCCAGCTTTAGAGTTTCTAATTGTGTGATCTGGAATGTCATTTTCCCCTCCTATCATTAGTTTCTCTGCCTGTAAAAATTGGGCTTACACCAGCTTCATAGAGTTTTTGTAAAGATAAAGTGAGAAAATATGTGAAAAGCTCCTAGTACAAAGCATGCTCAGAAAATATTGACTCTAGGCCGGGCATGGCAGCTCACACTTGTAATCCTAGCACTTTGGGAGGCCAAGGCAGAAGCATCCCTTGAGCCCAGGAGTTTGAGACCAATGTGGGCAACACAGGGAGACCCAGAAAGAAAGAAAGAAAAAAAGAAAGAAAGAGAGAGAGGGAAGGAAGGAAGGAAGGAAGGACGGAAGGAAGGAAGGAAGGAAGGAAGGAAAAGAAGGAAGGAAGGAAGGAAAGAAAGAAAGAGAAAGAAAGAAAGAAAGAAAGAAAGAAAGAAAGAAAGAAAGAAAGAAAAGAAAGGAAGGAAGGAAAGCAGGAAAGAAAGAAAGAAATAAAGAAAGAGAAAGAAAGAAAAGGAAGGAAGGAAGGAAAGAAAGAAAGAAAGAAAGAAAGAAAGAAAGAAAGAAAGAAAGAAAGAAAGAAAGAAAGAAAGAAAACAAAGAGAAAATATTGACTTTATATCTCGTTGTCTACCTGGCTTGCGCTGTCTGACACTGGCCTCTAATTTAATGCTTGTCTCACTATCTAGTTAACTTCCTTTCTGTCCTTCCTGGCCCTTTTGCTTCTCTAAATGGATTTTCTTTTCTCTGGAACAATTTTTCTTTCTTAAATATTGTGCCCCTTTAAAGTTATAGCCACTAGAGGGCTATCAAACAAGATCCAATCCACTCTCCCTGACCACATTTGGAATCAGACGGTGGGATTAAGTAATCACAAAATGTTGAAAAAACTTTAAAAAGCATCTAATCTAACTCCTAACTTTAAGAATAAGGAAACTACATATTTAAACAAACACAAACAGGTAATTGTTATGTTTTTCAAATCACTAGACCTCTCTATAAATCTATAGTTAAAAAATAAATTTTATGTTATTTTAAAAGTTTTCTGACTTTCAAACTACTTATTAAAAAAGACATATGTGAGGGCAAATAAATCTCCATTAGTATCAAAGGTAGTTTGTAGATTATTTTTGTTAATTCACTTCAAATAAAGTCCAAATATAAATCTACATAAAATCTACAAATAGTCCAAAATAAATCTACATAGTTAACATATTCAATTAAAAATGTATAATCTCTAAATTCGAAATATCTTAGATAAATTTTTTTTGCTTTAACATTCAACGAATTGAAATTTGTCTGTACTTAGATATCCAAGCAACTTGATACTGTAATCTCTTAATTTTCAACACTTATTCATTCTAAAATATACACAAACTATGCCAAGTGTTTATACTTACCTGGAAACTAATACAAAATATAATGCCATAATTGAAAAGTAGCCTTAAGTAAATACTACATGCTATTGAAAGTATAAATTAAAAATTTAAACAATAAAGAAATGAGGCCAGGCGCGGTGGCTCATGCCTGTAATCCCAGCACTTTGGGAGGCGGAGGCAGGCAGATCACTTGAGGTCAGCAGTTTGAGACCAGCCTGGCCAGCATGGTGAAAACTGTCTCTACTAAAAACACAAAAATTAGCCGGAAATCACTTGAACCTGGCAGGCGAGGCTGCAGTGAGCCGAGATCGCGTCACCGCACTCCAGCCTGGGCGACAGAGTGAGACTCCGTCTCAAAAATAAATAAATAAAATAAAATAAAGAATGAATGAAAATTCCATGTAAAATACACAGTCCAGAAGAAACCTTATATATTTGTTCATCTACTTTTCACACATATACACAGAGGCCATGTGTCCAGAAAGATGTTTTCTATTTCACTTTTATTTGTTCCCTACATCATTCTCTCATTTAAATAATGTTGCTTTGATATTTTTGAGAATGTATCAGACCCCAGACAATTCTACCACAGAAACTCTGGTGGCACTGAGAGTTTTGACTGTGTCTTAGATCTGCAGTAGAGGGGCCTGAGCAGCCAGAAGCTCCCAAATATGGAAGGGTCAAATATATTCTCATGCTTAAGTTATATTTTAAGAAAAGGCACATATAAACTGTTCATAAACCGGTTCTTATATTTGGCAAAATTAAGCTAACACTTTTATATACATTGAACATGCTAAATTCTGATTTTAACGGGAACCAATGACTATACTGTGGAATTCTTGGCTTTAGTAAAATGGGGAGGAGAGTTTTTGTTGTTGTTGTTGTTGTTTGTTAAACAGATATTTGTTTAGGTGCTTAGAGCATTTTAGGAATCGTATACAAGAAACTTAACTGGACAACCTTGAGAGGTGAGCTGAAGGAGAAAACGTTCACTTTCCATCCCCCTAAATGTTTACTTTTCATTTTATACCCCTGTGTTCCATTTTGATTGAGTGTGTGTGTTTGTTTTTTGGCCAGCAGCATCACCTTCATAAAAAGGACCAATTAATTTGGTTAGGCTAAAAACCTTCTGGTTTGAGCCTTGCATTGCAAACACTACCCATGATAAAGCTTTATGTATATTGTCTCACATCTTCATTGCCAAGTAGATGTGACTAATACTGGACTCCCCAGGCTACCCTCCATTACCAAATGTGCCTAAACTTGGAGGCTGCTTCAGGCCGCTCTCTCTTTGTGCCTCATTTCCTGAGTCCTCTTTTTTTTTTTCTCTGTGTGCACTCACTCCACTGGTGATCTCACCCTGCCCTCTGACTCTTAGGAGATTGTCCAAATTTCCTAGACCCCCTCCGCACTCTAGACACACACATGCATTGCACCTACCTCTTCAAAAGCTCCACTTGGATATCAGGTAGACACCTAAAATTAAACTTGTGCAAAACTGAACTCATCTTCCCCCTAAAACTTGCTCTACCATAGCCTTCCAAATCTCAGTTGATGGTATATCCAGGCTTCTAGTTGTGCCAGTCTATAACCTGAGTAAAAGAACGACTGGAAAGTAGAGTGTGACCCATAATGCCAGCTGCCTAAAAATGAAGATAGATTTGGATATTAGGATTGAATATATCATAAAATCATTAAAATGATGTCTGAAATGTTTAAAGTTAACTCATTTTAAATCTAGGATTTAGATTTTAACATTTTCATTTCTTTTGAATATGTCACCTTTTTACAAGCTAAAAAACAGAATCAAAATAAAGCAATCTGGTCCTCCAGGGATCCAAGGATCCAGGCTGAGTCTTTCAATCATTATCAGAATGACATCATAAAACAAGGTGCTAGCAATAATGCTAGCTGAGTTATAAACTCAGAATAATAACCACTTATGTACATTTTTCATTAGGAAACAACCAAAAGTCCAGTCTTTAAATGCATGATCTACAGAACACCTTGATTTACAAGGACAAAATGATGCAAATTATATGTTGTCCAACCTATTGGTAGACCAGATCCAGAGCTGACCACGAACTGGTAAACAGAGAAAGTGTTTACATTTTAAAAACTTGCTCTGTGGGATAAAAAAATTCCTGGTTGCTATCAATAAGAAAGTAAGTAAAAAATATTACAGATGAATCAGAATGAGGCAGGAGAATAGGGTCTGGAGGCAGGGAACCTAAGGACTTCCTATAACTAAATCAAATGGAAACACTTCACCTATGACAGGAAATATCCTCCATTTACATAGCGTGTATACTAAGTAGCCAATGGAAACCTCTAGAGGGTATTTAAACCCCCCAAAATTCTGTAATGGGGCTCTTGAGCCCCTATGCTTGGGCCACTCCCACACTGTGGAGTGTACTTTCATTTTCTTTCTTTCTTTTTTTTTTTTTTTTGAGGTGGAGTCTCGCTGTGTCTCCCAGGCTGGAGTGCAGTGGAGCCATCTCGTCTCACTGCAACCTCCACCTCCAGGGTTCAAGCGATTCTCCTGTCTCAGCCTCCCGAGTAGCTAGGACTACAGGTGCCTGCCACATGCCTGGATATTTTTTTTATTATTATTTTTAGTAGAGATGGGGTTTCACCATGTTGGCCAGTCTGGTCTCAAACTCCTGGCCCCAAGTCATCTGTCTGCCTTGGCCTCCCAAAGTGCTGGGATTACAGGCATGTGTACTTTCATTTTCAAGGAATCTCTGCTTTTGTTGCTTCATTCTTTCCTTGCTTTGTTTGTGCATTTTGTCCAATTCTTTGTTCAAGACGCCAAGAACCTGGACACCTTCCACTGGTAACAAACCCACACTGATACTTGATTTTGCCAACGTCTTCCATTAAAACATGAAGTTAGAGATAAATATAGGGGATAAGTGAGAAATTCTCCCTGGGGCCTGAAAGCTTGAAGGGATGAGTAACTCCTCCCTTCGCAGACCCAGTCCCAAGGCGCAAGGCTACTTGCGTCAACAGGGTGCGTCAGCAAGATAGCAGAAGCGGGAAGAGAGCCGGCGGGAAGACACCTACCCTGGCCGGAAGACAGCTACCCTGGCTGGAAAACACGTACCCCTGAAGATCTGAAGATCGAGAAAGACGCCGTGCGGGTACTATGTAGCAGTCAGGTCAGACTGGGACACTTCCTGTTTACAGAGGACTATAAAACCCCTGTCCCATACTCACTTGGGGCTGATGCCATTTTAGGCCTCAGCCCGCCTGCACCCAGGCGCTCATTAAAACAGCATGTTGCTCCACACCACCTCGTGTTGTCTGTTGGCGCACTCTCAGGGTTCGAACTTACACAAGAACCCTTCAATAAGATACTTTGATATTTCAAAAATCAGTTACCTCTTAATAAGAAATTAGACATACTGCATTCTTCCATTTGGTACAAAAACAAATTGACAGTGCAGACTAAAAGAAATGCTTAACTCTAAAGAGGGTGGTGACAGCAACACTTTCGACACAGAATAACTTCTCATTTTCATAGTTAGTATTTCTATTCTTCCATCATGCATATTACTGTTGAAAAACTTGGCAGGAGCTTTTGCCAGGGTCAAGAGATGGGAAACAGAACATGTCCTAATTAGCTAATTGTAAGCTCAGTTAATATCTTTGGGATGGGCCCGTAAAATCTGGTTATTGTTTTGTTAAACATATGCAAACTACAGGATTCCTTAGCCCTTTAGCTATAGTTTTCTGCTCAATATCTTAAAGCTGGGGCAGTCCCACTGAGACTCTTTTCCTCAGGGCTGAGGTGGGTGCTAGTCATCAAAATCTGGAAAGTTATTGTAGGAGTTAAAATCTCAATGGGAACACCAGAATGCCTAGGAGCAGGACTGGAACGACACTTGCCCCACCCTTGCTGATGTAGTGGACCAGCAAGAAGGAGCCTATGATATTGAGAAAGGCATTAATCAAAAACAGCACAGTACCAAGTGCAGTGCCTTATAAGAGATCATGGGAGGGCTTTTCTTAAACTCAAGGTCAATGTAGCTATTGTCTGTGCTGGGGAGCCTTGACTATTTCACTTTACTACTGGGGGTTCCAGCAGCCAGGCTGTTATAATAACAGCATTATAACACACTGACAGCTATAGTCAAGAGCCAGATCCCAGCTTATCTTGCCACCAAGGTTTCCTGCTTTCTAATTTTTCCAAAGTAACACAGAGATTAAGTGGAAGAGTGATGACTCAAATCCAGGTTCACCTCACACCATAGTATTGCCTGTCCCCTGCCTCTGTGGAGCATTGATCCAGGTTTCCTGTGCACTGAGTGCTCACAGACAGTTGGTCTGTCAGACCACATCGTCTGGCCCACCTAACAGCCGGCCATCCAGCAAGGGCTGTTGTTCTTGTTTTTAATAATCCCCTTAGAAAACATTTTAGTGACTCTACGCCAATTCTCTGATACTTAACCTTAATTCTTACTTATAGCCCTTGCACATAGTGAAGAGTGGTGATCTGATTAATTCATTCATTCTGAGGACTAAGCTCTGATTTTTCTTATCTTGCCCAAATTCCTACCTAAGGGGTCTGGGGAGTCATACCTTACAAACCATAAATTCTCATCAGATGGGTTTTATTTAACCCTATGTATCCTGACTTACTTTCTGATCTGACTCTGGCATAGCATTACGTGACAAAGAAGAACATCAAATTATTCTACCCCAAAACATGTTTCTTTGCCATATTTTGAAATGGCCCTACAAAGCTATCCTTTGTGGGAAAAAAATTTGCATCTGTAAAGAATCTCTATTGACAGCACTAGATATTTTTCTTCTAGGCCCTCCCAATTCTGAAGAGATTAACTGAGAGTCTAGCATTTTTTAAAGTTCAGAATAGGAAACATTTGTCATCTATTGTATCTAAGGGCAGCCACTATGAGACTTCAAAAGAACTTTGGTCTCCACAATCTTTTGTCTTAACCTGAACATTTCCTTTCTATGATCCCAGGTCTTTAGAAAAACTCAACCAATTGTCAACCAGAAAATGTTTAAATTGCCTAAACACCCTCCCTTCCCCCACCAGCTTGAATTGTCCCACCTTTCTGGACCAAACCAATGTATTTCTTAAATGTACTTGATTGATGGCTCATGCTTCCCTAAAATGTATAAAACCAAGCTGCAACCAACCGCCTTGGGCACATGTTCTCAGGACCTCCTGAAGGCTGTGTCATGGGCCATGGTCACTCATATTTGGCTCAGAATAAATGTCTTCAAATATTTTACAGAGTTTCACTGTTTTCATAAACAATTGAACAAATATTTCTTGAGTTCCTACTATGGACCAGGCAAAAGGCTAGGAGAAAATCTAGAGCCAAACAAACAAATCCCATAGTAATTGTCTGCATGAAACTGATGATCTAGTAGTGTAAATAGAAATGGGAGATTGGAAATATTAAAGAGTAATAGTAAAACTGCAATTACGTTTGCACCAACCTAATAGATGTTAAAGAAAAGTAAAATTACATCTGTGATATAAATGATATAAAGAAGACAGTGCTGTTATGAGAATTAAACTGGAAAAGAGAGTTTAAGAAAGCGTCCCTGTGGAATTGAAGAAAGAACTGCAATCTGAAGAAAAAAATGAGTAAAGTCGGTGAGGGGGCAGCTTTCCAGGCAAGTGTCATAACCTGTGAAAGACTCTTGCGATGCGAGGAGCATCTCCCATTTCAGGAAAGGAAAAAATGACCTGAAGCACAGAAAGTGTGCTTCAAGAAGAGGCTTGAGGAGAAAGGAATTCAGATTATGTAGGGGCTTATGGACAAAGTTAAATATTTTAGTCTTTCCCAAGAGTTATGAAAAGTAATTGAGAGAACAATCACAGGATTAGATTTGCAGTGGGAAAAGGTCACTGGCTACTGCGACTGGAATGGATGGGCTCAAGAGAAATGTGTGCACATGTGGAGCACGTGACATGGATAAAAATGTTCACAGCAGTATGCTCCTCTTAATAGCCCTAAACTAGAACCAGACCAAAGGATTATCAAGAGTAGAGTGAATAAATACATTGTGCTGTAAAAGTATTACCATATAGTATGAGAATGAACAAACAACTACACACTACAACATTAATGAACTTCATGCACATAACATTAAGTAAAAGAATACAGACAGAAAGATGTAAACAATATGATCCTATCTGTATAAAGTTTAAAGCAGGCAAAACTAATGTGGTGTTAGAAGACAGGATAGTGATGGCACTAGGAGTGGGAAGGGCTGGTAATTAAAAGGAAAGCAGCATAGGGTGGGCCTCTGCAGTGCTGGCAAATGCTCTATTTCTTAACCTGGGTGGTGGTTAAACAGGATTTGTGATCATGCATTGAGCTGGATGTTTATGTTTCATGAAGTTTTCATATATGTGTAATATAAAATTTTAAAATATTAAAGAAATTTTAAAGAATAAATTGCCAAGCATGGTGGATCATGCCTGTAATCCCAGCACTTTGGGAGGCCAAGGCGGGCGGATCATGAGGTCTGGAGATCTAGGCAATCCTGGCTAACATGGGGAAACCCTATCTCTACTAAAAATACAAAAAATTAGCCAGTTGTGGTGGCACGAACCTGTAGTCCCAGCTATTCAGGAGGCTGAGGCAAGAGAATCGCTTGAACCCGAGAGGTGGAGGTTGCAGTGAGCTGAGATACGCCACTGCACTCCAGCCTGGGCAACAGAGCGAGACTCCATCTCAAAAAAAAAAAAAAAGGAATAAATTGGTAGAGTTAATGAATGGATGTAGAGAGATTAGTTAGAAAGCAATGGCAGTAGTCCAGGTCAGAGAAAACAGTTATTCTTGAACCTTGCTAATAATGGTGAAGATGGAGAGAAGAGGACTTATTCAAGGGCTGTTATTTAGGGGTCACAATGAATAGGATTTGATGGTGAATTGGCTGTGGAGTATGAAGAGCAAGAAGATGTCATGGATGAGTTCTAGGGGTGACTGAATTAGGTAGGCAAATAGGCAATGCTATGTTTATGAAAAGGGACAAAGTATAGAATGAATGAGGATAAGGGTCAGTTTTTACGTTTGGTGGCAGAAATGTAAAGGGTCAGCCAATGATCAGCTGTGAGAAAAGAAGGGAGGGGAGGACTGGGCTTGTTCAGAGAGCAGGAAAAGTTTGAGACCAGTTGTACAGAGTGGAACAGTGAGAGAACTAAAGAAATACAGGAGGATTGCTGAATGGTGCTGACAAATCTTTTGAAGTTGATCATCATGAATTTATAGTGAATATTTTACCTCGAAGAGTGACTTGCTCCAGCAGCACTCAGCTGCTCTTTTCCACATATGAAGAGAACCAGTGATTAGGATCACACATGATTGGAATTTTGCCAGATGGGTATGATCAGTATAGTTTTTGACTTATCATATTAAGTCAAAATATCAATAAAGATTGTGATAAAATCCAATTTTTCATCCCATTATAAGGACAGAGAATTTTCAATATTCACCTGCCCAGAGTTTCCTGAGAACATGGAAATTCATCTGAGAAGATGAGAGAGAGATGAGGGAAGCCAGCGTGACATTTGGACCCTTGGTCATAGGTCATAGGTCTCCAGAATTACTCCTCTCCTCTCTAAGTATAATTTCTGTTGCCGCTGCAGTCATATATTACCATCTCTCTTTCATTTCCTTATCTTTCTATTTATTATTCTTTTTTTCCAAGTCCCTTGCTCTCTTATGTCCTTTTCCTTTGTGGGGATTGTATGAAAGATATAAGCATGATGTGGACACATTAAAATTGTGTAGGAACACCAGCAAATTTGGGACTGGAGAAACGGAATTGAGAAGAACTTAGTGTTTCAGCTTTTGTTTCAGCTTTTTGGACACATTATTTTACATACAATCCAGGCTTTAGTAACCAGTAGGATCTGTTGCAAAGAGAGAAAGTCCATACAATTTCAGCAACATGCCATCTGACGTTTGGAACCTTAGCCCAATTGCAAAGAAAGCAATTTTATTATTGGCATGTGCCTATTTCCTTTTCCCTTTTTTCTGTTAATACTTTATTTATGGATTCATTCAGTCATTCTGTTACTTATTCCACAAACATATATTAAGTAACTACTATGCATCAGACACTGAGCACTAGTTCAGTATCCTCTATCAGCTCACACTTGGGGTCTTTTAACTCAAAAGGACTACCTCTCCCACAAAATTATACGTCCTTCTCTAATGATATAACCACCCAAGGAGCTCACCTTGCCCACTGCCTAGACAGAGCCAATTCATCAAGACAGGGAAATTGCAATAGAGAAAGAGTAATTCATGCAGAGCCAGCTGTGTGGGAGACTGGAGTTTTATTATTACTCACATCAGTCTCCCAGAGCATTCAGGGAGCAGAGTTTTTAAGGATAACTTGGTGGGTGGGGGGAAGCCAGTGAGCCAGAAGTGCTGATTGGTCAGGGATAAAATCATAGAGTCGAAGCTATCTTCTTGTGCTGAGTCAGTTCCTGGGTGGGGGCCACGAGATCAGATGAGCCAGTTTATTGATCTGGGTGATGCCAGCTGATCCATCAAGTGCAGGGTCTGCAAAATATCTCAAGCACTGATCTCAGGAGCAGTTTAGGGAGGGTAGGAATCTTGTAGCCTCCAGCTACATGACTCGTAAACCATAATTTCTAATCTTGTGGCTAATGTTCATCCTACAAAGACAATCTAGTCCCCAGGCAAGAAGGAGGTCTGCTTTGGGAAAGGGCTGTTACTGTCTTTGTGTAAAGTGTAAACTATAAACTAAGTTTATCCCAAAGTTATTTCAGCCTACACCCAGGAATGAACAAGGACAGCTTGGAGGTTAGAAGCAAGATGGAGTCAGCTAAGTTAGATCTCTTTCACTGTCTCCGTCATAATTTTGCAAAGGTGGTTTCAATCCCTCCCTTTAGGTTTTATAACACCTTAATCTTAAGGTGTAGATTATGAAGATAGGAAAAGGCTGTGGATCGCTCTGGCTTCTTCCTGCTGACAGGAGACATAGTGGGAATGGGAGTGAACCCCAGGGTGAGAAGAGTGGAACTGCTTTGCAACTGTCTGAGTGTACTCATGCAGGCCTGGTTGAGCTTCCAAGGCTTGCATGGCAGAAACATTAGTACTCTTATCTACAGTTTTACTACAGTGTTTAAGTGAACAGCCTACTGTAAGGTAAATAACGAGTCCTAGGATGAGTAGTACAATTTCCAATTTTAAAAGCAAAGATTTGAAAGCATTAGTTTGGGGACTTCTAATCCACAAAGAATTTAGAATTTAGCTTAAACTGCAGAAAAACACCTCAAAAACAGCTAACAACAGTGTACTATAGTTTTTCTTTTGAAGCATAATTTTTGTCTCTCTAGTCCCCATTTTTATTAAAAACAAATCATGGTAGAACTAATTTGTTTACAAAATAAACTTTAGTCTTCCTGTACTTGGCCTGATTATTTGCATGAAGTGCAGCAAGAGTAATTATTTTTCACTTAGACTAACAAAGCCTAAAAATAAAGCCTTCAAAAATTTGGCTTAGATAGGACTCTGTTCCATGAGGAATCTCAGGTAAGATTTTTTTTTGAGATGAAGTCTCGCTCTTATCACCCATGCTGGAGTGCAATGGCATAATCTTGGCTCACTGTAAATTCCGCCTCCCGGGTTCAAGCGATTCTCCCGCCTCACAACATGCAATGAAGTAAGTGCCATTATTATCTCCATTTTAAAAATGAGAAACCTGAGGCATGAAGAGGTTATATAACATTCTCAGCAGGGAGATAACAGAGGCAGGACCCCACCAAGCAGTCTTTCTCCAAAGCTAGTGTACCTAATCATCACTCAAGCCGATACCTAAGGCTGGTGGTGAGAAGAGGTGCTGTATTTCTAACAGGCTCTATTATTGGTGAAAATTTGCTTTCTGCTGTGAATTGACCTTTTCATTGTTGTGATCAGGTCTTGTGGCCATTAGGGTAAGGTTGTTCTGTTGGCATTGAGTTTTTTTTATACAAACACAAAAAGAAAGTAAAAAGACTCTAATTTGAGGAAAGACCTCTTTATGGTCATTGGCTTGATAATAGTAAGAGTATAGGATCTATGAATTCCTGGACCTGTCCACCTGACTTGAGGGATGTTGAGAGCTACCCAAAGAAGCAGAAAGAGGAAGGATATACAGTTTGGGGACTCAAAGAGAGAGGAAAACATGGAGCTAGATAGTCCATTTATATAGTTATTGTAATATCTACTTTCTATTGAATCAAGGAATTAGAAGAAATGTTTGTAAAACTTTTATTATCACCATCCTGTTGGGAAGATTTAAACCAGTGAGTTAATTCTTAATTTATTCTGGAGAGGAGGAAAGAAAGTAGATGAAATAAATATTATGAAATTCCCAAGATGCCTAATTTTTCTGTTCAGCAGAAAAGAAAAAACTGCACATTATAATTTTACCTAATAATGTGGGTTTAATACACAAGAATATGAAGGAGTGAGTGCACTTTTTAATATTCTTCTCCTACAGTAATTTTATTCATTCTCAGAAATTAACCTTTATTTTTTCATTCACATTTTTTATTTTTTGCTCCATTTGTATTCATTTGTTCACTCATGCATTTAGGCACCTATTGAATAAATACTTTTCAAGTGTTCCCTATCTGCCATGTATTGTTCTAGGTGCCATGAATACTAACTAAATAAGACAAGCAAGATTCCTACCCCACAGAGCTTATAGTCTAAGAAGGGTGGAGGTTATATGAAGTTAGATTCAATTGTCATATAAATAAATAAGATAAATGGAGATAATAATAAGTTACATGAACAATAAAACTGGGTAATGTGTTGAAGAAGGACTGGTTGGGGGAGTATTTTAGATTGAATAGTCTGAGATTATGTGACAAATAAATAGTGATTGGTTGAATGAATGAATGAGTGGTTAGGGAAGATACATGATAAAAGGTAGCATATGATAAATGTAATGGTAAGATTTGAAATAAAGTCCTCTATAGTCATAATAAAGGAAAATATACAACTGAAAAAAAATTTTAAATGTCCTTGAAGCTAGATAGGGTTTTGATAGATGAAGATGGTAGGGTAAGGGCATTGTTGGCTGAGAAAATAAAATGAGTAAGAGGAAAAGCAAAAGGGAACACCCACTGTGTCCAGTCAAGGGAATGAAGAACAGAGGAATGGAGGAAGGATAAGGGGAAACAGCTATTTGGAAGCAGAGAAAACAAATTGAGGCCAGATCATGGTGGGCCTTAAATACCATGAAACAAGTTTTAATTAAAAAATTTTTTTTTCAGGCTAAGGCTTGAAAAGACATTTGTCTAAAGATGATATACAAATGACCAACAACATATGAAAGGATGCTCAATATCACTAATCATGAGAGAAATGCAAATCAAAACTACAGTGAGATATCACATCATACTCATTAGATTGACTCCTATACAGAAAGTAGAAAATAACAAGTGCTGGTAAGGATGTGGAGAAATTGGAGCCCTTGTGCACTGTTAGTAGGACTGTAAAATAGTGCAGCAGCTAGGAAAAACAGGATGGAGATTCTACACACACACAAATAAAAACTCAGCAATTCACTTCTAGGTATATATCCAAAAGAACTGAAAACATGGTCTCAAAGAGATAATCGTACAACCATATTCACACAGCACTATTCACAATAGCCAAGAGGCTGAAGCAACCCAAGTAAATGATTAGGCAAAATATGGTATATACATGTACAGGACTGTTATTCAGCTTTAAAAAGGAAGGAAGTTCTATCACATGCTACAACATGGGGGAATCTTGTGGACATTATGCTAAATGAAATAAGCCAGTCACAAAAAAGCAAATACTGTATAATTCCACTTATATAATGTATCCAAAGTTGTCAAATTCATAGAAACAAAGTAGACTGGTGGTTAGTTGGAACTAGGGGTTGGAGAAAAAGGAGAGTTTAATGGACATAGAGTTTCAGATCTGCCAGATAAAGTTCTGAACATCTGCTTCATAACAATATGAATATAGTTAACATTACTGAACTGTACACATAAAAATGTTAAAGATGGTAAATTTTATGTTATGTGTTTTTTACCAAAATAAAAAAGAATTCAGTAACTTAAGTCCTCAAAATATTTATGCTGCTTTGTAATAAACTTCTAAGGGGTTGTGTGTGTATATGTGTATGTGCATGTGCATGTGTGTATGTGTGTCAGGTTGTAAAATATATGTATAGAAGGTCCCTGCCTTATGAGAGTTTGACCTACGATTTTTCAACTTTGCCATTGTGTGGAAGTGATATGCATCCAGTAGAAACTGTACTTCCAGTTTCCAATTTTGAACTTTGATCTTTTCCTGGGCTAGAGATATGCAGTATGATACTCTCTTGCACTGCTAGGCAGCATCAGTGAGCCTCAGTTCCCAGTCAGCCACTGATCAGAAGGGTAAACAACTAATACTCTACAGTGCACTATGATGCTAGATGATTTTGCCCACCTGTAGGCTAATGTAATGCAACCGAGCACATTTAAGGTAGGCGAGACTAAACTATGATGTTTGGCAGGTTAGGTATATTAAATGTACTTTTGATTCATGATATTTTCAACTTACTATGTGTTTATCAAAATGTAACCCCCTCTTAGGTCAAGGAGCATCTGTAGCTGCTTGGATCTACATTAACCTCATTTATCTATACCCTACCTATGTGAGTCTTGGAAACTTGTCTCATATAAACAATGAGCTAGCCTAAAAAAGGGGACTTTGACAATTGCTTCATCGGTCTTTGTCACTCTGGAAATATCAGCATCTGCATGTTGAAAAAGGTCTCATTATATTAGCTTTCCATAAGCTGTCACCTGATTATAAGACCTCTTTTGCACCTTCCCAGGTGAGTCATCAGAAAATTCTTTAGTTTTATACATTTGTAGGTCCAATGCATTTTAATTAAATTTAATATATTTAATATATACAAATTAAATATACTTCATATATAAGGTTACCCCTTATTTATATGGATTAAACTGACTAAAATTAAATGATATAGCCAAGTTAATATTATTTCATGTTTATCAGTATTTCATTGCTTCATTGCTACATAATCTGTTTTTAGGTATAATATTAAATCACATAAAAACTCATAAGTGAATACTTAATCTTTTTGTTTCTATATTGGGTCACAAGTACTGAGACAAATTATGTAACTTTAAATATTATTAACTTTGGAATCCTTGTTTATAACACAACTATAATTGTTTATTTTTCTTTTGCTTTTTAGAACTTTCCTGCTATGTTTATCTGAGTTTTGTGGTAACATACGAGACTTACCTTTGAATGTATAAAACTGGCTAGTTTTACATGATCTGAACTTGAGAAGCGGTTTCTTAGGTTTCAAGACAACATGCTAAATACATAGGACCATCTACTGGCAAAGGATGATATAGTCCTAAGGACTGGTTTTGTTGGAACTTGTAATAGCCCAAGTTAAAGATCATGAAGATTGTGAAGCCCAAAAGTGTATTATTGAGGGAATCCTGCTGCCAGAATATGCTTATCACTTAAATTGCAACAGAGTGGTCTTAGATAGAAAATACAAGAGCTGAGAAGATACTACAAAACAAGTAAGTCATTTATATGGAGTCACAACATCTAACTGGCATACATTTGTTTAATATTGATATAGTAAAATATTTCATGAGGGCTCTGACAAGGACTGTCTTGTTAATCTCTGAATCCCTAGCATAGCAACTGGTACATGGAAGTGTCAACAAGTATTTACTGAATCAGTGAATGAATAATGACAACCAGGGCCTCAAAACTTTTGAAAATTTGCCTTATATTCTCCCTCTCCCATAGGACCACACCCATAATTTAAAATAAAAAAAATACAAAGTGTAACATAAGTTCCCTTTTTAGATGAAAAGTGCATCTATCTGTTTGGTTAACCAGAAACCTTGAGTCAGTAAAAATTATACTTAATATTTACGTTAAAAATAGTAATAATGAAAAATGACCTAAACTAATTAAAAGAAGGTTATGTGGACTTGCATAGGCTTTATAATCAAATATTGCTCATGTCAAATTTCAGCTCTATAGTTTGGGTATTGTATGAGGTTGGATTAATTACTTAACCTTTCTCTCCTCATTTTCCTCTTTTATTAAATTAGCATTTTGTTTATACCCTACAAAGATTTGGTGAAGTCTGTAAATGCAATGATTTGTGCCTACTTGGTAAGTACTAATAATAAATCCAGCTGTTGACTTTTTGTCTGACTGAGGGCATTCATTTTCCTAATTTTCAATGGTCACAAGCATCTTCGGACAGGGACCAAATTTTATTTAGTAATAGAACTTAGCACAGTGCCTGGCATAGGTAGATACTTATTAAATGTGTTGTATTAATAAAGAAAATTAATATTTAAATAACTATTTGGTGACTATTGTCTATAGTTCTACACACGGTTATATACAATACAATGTCTAAGTAAGGCGTATATAGACATATACCCAACATGGCCATTTGCAGTATAGAAACAGGGTATTTTGTAAAAATGGAATAATTTGTAATTCCTTTGATTAATCTAGTCTTTTTCTTAATGGTTAAGGAATTCATAAGGAATGATGAGTTCAAGTAAATACACATCAGATGGAAATTATATTATAATGTACTCACACACAGCCACAATTTCATTTAGCTACATAATGATTTTTACCTTTAAGGACATTTTTCTCATTCATTTTCATTAATACAATTCTGGCTTATAAATAGACCATTGGTTTTGAAAATTTCACAATATGAAATGTAAACCAGCCCTGAACTTGGTAGTCAGGAAAAGCATCAACAATGAAGAAGAAATTGGTTTTTAAAAAAATATTTTATACATCCACCTGAAGGCGCTCATGTGGCAAAACATATTCAACCCCAAAACATATTCAACATATCTAAATGTATATAATCAGAACTGTAAATAGCCTAGGCTATGTGAAAGTACTTTTCACTTCTAAATGAGGACAATTTTGCCCATAAAGTAATTATATCAAAGTCATCTTTTTAAATCAATGATTTAATAACCTTTACCATCATTTTATGCATATATTAGAAGTGTGTAACATTCTCTGGACTTGGGTTTCAATGTGTAACAGATTTTCCTAGACTCATTGAATCAAAAAGCTATTCCAAACATATTAGAATAAGATGAATCTATTGCCAAATATGAAACTATACTTGGAACCAATGTTTCAAATAAAAACTAGGATATTCATTTATGCCTTTACTGACAGACCAAAACTTGAGACAAAAACCAAATTTCTATCAAGAGAAAACCATTCCCACTGTAAACAAATGTAAATTTGAGTTGAGTTTTAAGGTATATCATTCTTCTTGAGATTATTTCAGAGGGATTATTACACATTATCCTGCTTACAAGAACACAAACTGTTTTAGACTCATGCTTGGCATAACATTACATGCTGTAGAAATATAATGCAACGTTTTCATAGAATCCAACTTATTTTTCAAGTTTAAGAGTTAACCTAAAGAATGCACATTTTAAACTCAAGCTCCATAAACTTATAGCTTTTTGTTTGACCAAAAATATGTCAAACGTTTGGGCAAATAGATATAACATGGTAAAAGTAGTTTGAAACTTGAAATATTCTTTCTTTTTTCCTTTCCTCATCTATCCCTTGCTGTATTCAAAAATGGCTAGTTTCTCAGTCTTTTTCATGTTTTCCGTAAAATATAAGAGTAGTAAAATATGGTATACCCATTGGACCATTTGGAAACAATTGAATGGTACATAAATACAAGTTCAAATCAGAGATGTTTTCCCTTCCAAGTTAAGGATGTTGGTCCTGAAAAATAAATTCAGAAAACAAATAGGCACAAAAAGCTCATGGAAAACATGTGCATATTAGAACTTTAACATTTAAATTACAGTGTACATAGTTTTTAATACAGAATTTTAGGCATCTTTGAATCCTGTGCATCATAAATAATGAGTCTTTTTTGCTTTAGCTCATGGGTAAAATATATTAAATACTGACTAATTACAAATCTAATATTTGTTTTGGCATTCTTTTCAATGTTTCAAAACAAAATTATCAGGTTGTTTTAAAATTATGTTTTATTTTTATATTATGAAAATTAAGGCATGAAAATTATACACATCTTTCACATGAGGATTTTTCATTTTCTTCTTGTACCTTTAAAAGTTAACTTAAAACACTTGCCTCAGACTTTTGCCCTTGTAGCAGTATAAACTGGATAATCACTTATGTAGAAAAGATTAATGAATAATTTTTAGCAAGTTTAAGTTTTGGTTCCATGCTTCTTAAAAAAAAATCTTTAATTCCTGCCTCACTTTTCTAACAGGAAATATTAGTAACTGATGAATAAGTAGGTGATAATACTAATGAAAACGTTGGACAAATGTACTGATTATAATTTTATATTGCATTCCTTCATGTAAGTTGGTTACATTTATTGAAAATTAAAAATACACTAGCTATCATGGCAGAATTGAAAATGTAGAAATGTTATGATGTTCTATAACGATCATTATGAATGACTTCCAGGTACTCTATCACCTGAAAAGTCTAAGAATCACAGACTTAACATCTATTATGGCTGTGTCTCAACAGGCAAATAAAATCCTAGGCCACTAACAACTGATCATTCCAATATTCTTCTGGTATGTCAATGTGGTATCACAGGCAGCAAGAGATAAAGTTTCAGTCTTGGCTTTCCAGCTCCAGTGCACACAAATAGAATAAAATCTATTTCATATGACTAGTCCATATAGATTATTTCTCATTATGTTCAATAAATATTAACTTTACCAAAACCATAATTATTTGCCCTTCTCATTGCTAATGCCTTAGAGGTACATTAATATTGAGTAAGACTGCATAGTTGCTGAATGATTTACTAACTTTCTCATTTCATTTTAAGCCGCAGAACAATGATCTTTGCACTTTGTACTTAATTTTCATTTCTTGTAAACAATAACCAAATAACAATAAGACTAACATTATGAAATTTATTTTATTTTCTACACTTCGTCTAACTTTTATTGCTATTATAGCCCAGTTTGATTTAAAGGATAATAACAAAAGAGCACTAAACCAGAGAGTCAGGAGAACTTCATTTGATTTCTCGATCTTTCCTTAAGTAAAGTGCATGATTAGGGCAAGTCTGAGTGTCAATTTTCTCAAAAGCAAAGTAGGAAAAATAGTATTTGTTTCAAAACATTGTCATCAACATTAAGGTGAAATGATGTAAATGGGGATTGTAAATTATAAAGTACTATTCCAATGTATGTTATTACTATGATTCTCAGAATCCTTAAGTTCCTTTATACCATTGCAGTTCTTAAAATGTAGACTCATCCTTGGGCAAAAAAACAAGCTGTGTATTTCTGAACAGAAGTTGCAATAGGTAATTCTGCTAAGGAAATTATCAGGTTGAGACATTGTTTGGATACTCCTTTTCTGTATTGGCAATTCTCTTTTTAAAATGAAAGGATTTATTAAAAATATTTAAGATTTGTACTAAAATTAATTTGTTATATGCCCTCATTAAGATGCTTAAAGTCCAAAATTTAAAAATATGGCATTTTATACATTTTAGCCATGCTTTTTTCTTTCAACAAATGCCATTAAAACAATTTTTATATTGAAATTATTTATAAAACTGTCAGCTATTTTGTACAGGTTTAGTTGGCCACTAGCAATAATCAATTTGAATTCTAGCTATTAAACCTAATATCAACCATAAATGGACTAAATGTCACTCAAAGTTTGAATCTTATGCACTTGGTATCAACCCAAATGCTGCTCAGTTTAACTTGTTTCATTTCCAGAATATTGCCCATGTTTGTTAAGAACTTCAGACACACCACATATACATAGTAAATCTGGTATTCATCATGAATTCACCTAGAAAATCCTGTTTTACAAGTGCATTAGGCCTTCACTAGGAATTAGTATAAGTCATAATGACTGACCTTACATAATGCATTTGTTTATTTTCTTCTGAAAAGTCAGATCATATACTTCCTTAATGCTAAAATCTTATAAAACATGTCTTGCTGCCTTTTTTTCTCTGTGCTTAGCTTAACATACTTCATGCAGTATAACAGAATGTCTTTGAGCCTTTATCTAATAATTAACTTTTAAAATATGTCAAAACAAATTAAGATGTCTCATCTTCATTTTTAATTGTTTTCAGCACTGAGTCTTCTCCCAAAATTTTACATAGTTCATTGAGTCTCTGCTGCATTTTGGGAATTCCAGCTAGCTGAGATTCTAGCTTTTGTTTTTCTTCACTCAATGTCAAACGGATAGCAGTATCCAATTGTTCAAAGCGCCAACCTCCTTCACCATCAAACTGTAATAAATGTGTGTGGTATTTCCTGCATAATTAAAATGAAATAATATTATTAGCCATAATGTTGAAAAATCATTTTAGTTGTAGGTTTATCATTCAAATTGATACCCAAAGGCAAATTTTAAGTAGGTGCTATTTTACATTTGAGTTTTAAGGACATATCAAAAAGTTAAATACTGTGATTTTTTTAAAACCCAAAAGTCATTAATCTGATCTTTAGGAAAATATTATTATTTTTTTCATATTCTGGATGTATATTAACTGTAAAGGAAGACATGCTGTTGCATGTATTTAATTTCTTCATAACTCAATTTGGCTCCTGAATAAATAGTAAGGCATTCTTAGGATGGGAGTAAGGAAAGGAAGCTGAGGAAAGAAAATCAACATTAAAAGGTCATAGAAAAACTAAGGAAAATAAAGGAAATACAATAGCAACTCATTAATACACCATCCTTTGGGAATGAGTTCTTCTGCATAAGTAAAATTTTCTCAATAATAAATATAGTTTAAAAACATTTTAAAAAACAACTCTTTGATAGAAGAAATGTTTTAAAGATACTTCCACATTTTTATATGATTTAATCTCTTTCTTATGGCTCAGTTTCATAATTAGGAACTTCACAGAGGTACAGAGATTATTTTACTGATGAGATAGGAGATGATCCACCTTGTCCTAAAGGAGGCTGAGGTCACCATTCTGTCGGCTTTGTGGGGGATATTTGGTGAAAGAAAAGTTGGCAGAGCTGGTCCTGCATGGCTGAACCACCTGCATTTTTTCACTGCTGAACTGGCCTATATTCTTATGTGTCCTCAATTTTTCTGCCTTCCCTTATAGTTTTTCTCACTTCTTGCTTCCTTTTAAGATCTGGTCTGTCATTGTTAACTATGATCGGTGGGCTTTTTTCAAGCAGTTTCCTCCTGCTTTTTAAAAAATTGAGAGATAATTCACATACCATAAGTTCATCCTTTAAAGCGTAAAATTCGATGATTCTTAGCATACTCACAAGCTCATGCAACCATCACCAGTAATTTCAGAACATTCTCTTCAACCCCAAAAGAAACCCAATACCCATCAGCAGTCTTTCTCCATTTCCCTTTCCACCCAGCCCCTGACAACCACTAATCTCCCCTCTCTCTATAGATTTCTCTATTATAGACATTTCATATACATGGAATTATAGAATATGTGGCCTTTTGTGACTGACTTCTTTTACTTATACAAATGATTTCAACGCACAAAGGGTGGAGGAAGATGGTGGAATAGGACTCTACAGTGATCATCCGCTTGCAGGAAAACATCAAAATTACCTACACACAAAAATACCTCTACCTCTACAGAAGCTAAGGAAACCAGGCAAGAGTTCACAGTATCTGGTTACAGAATATTAATAAGAAAATAGTCATTGGAGTGGGTAGGAAGTGCAGTTTTACATTCTCCAAGTCACCCATGTCCCAACCACAAAGTGCACAGCTCAGAGAGAAATACCATCTACTTGGGGAAAAGAGAGGGATGTAAGCATAAGAGTTTGCATTGGAACACACTACCAGGCCTGCCACAGTAAAACCCAGCACTAGACAGACTCCTACAGACCCTCACTTCTGCTGGTACCTGCAGACTGAGCCTCTGAACCTGCCTCAGTGCCAGACAGAAACCTGTTGTCCCTGTCAGACAAACTCAATTTCTGGTCTGCATCACCACGAACCAACAAACTATAGAAGCCATGGGCTCCAAATAGCCCACAGTGGCAGGCAGGACTCAGTGGCTGGGGGCTCAGATTTCAGCTCAGCACTGTGCCAGCCTTGGTGGTCAAGGGATTCCACCCTGACACTGCACCATCCACCATCGTCCTGGGCTTAGAGTGCTCTTGGTGTTGCAATAGCTGCAGCAATCACTATCTTAGAAACCACAACAGGTGACCTGCCTAGAATTTCTGGATAGGCTTACTGTCAAAGAACTTTTCTCAGACAAAGCTAGACTATGCAAACTGGAATAAATTTCTAGGTCTTTAATGTGTAGACATCAATTCATGACCAGAAGGATCAAGAACAATCAGGGAAATGGGACTCACCAAATGGACAGAATAAAGTGCCAGTGACTGACTCTAAAAAGATGGAGATGTTTGACCTGCCTGACAAAAAAATTAAAATAGTTGTTTTTAAAGTAAGCTTAATGAATAATATGGTTTTTCTGCATCCCCACCCAAAATCTCATTTTGAATTGTAATCCCCATAAGCCCCATGTGTCAAGGAAGAGACAAGGCGTAGGCAGTTGGATCATGGGGGTGGTTTTCCCCATGCTGTTCTCATAATAATGAGTGAGTTTTCATGAGATCTGGTGGTTTTATAAGTGTTTGGTAGTTCCTCCTGTGTTCGTTCTCTTTCTTGCTGCCTTGTGAAGAAGGTGCCTTTCTTCCCGTTTGCCTTCCACCATGATTGTAAGTTTCCTGAGGCCTCCCCAGCCATGCTGAACTGTGAGTCAATTAAACCCTTTTTCCTTTATAAATTACCCGGTCTAGGGCAGTTCTTTATAGCGATATGAAAACAGACTAATACAGTAAATTGGTACTGGTAGATGGGGTGCTGCTATAAAGATACCCAGGCCTAACATGGTGGCTCATGCCTGTAATCCCAGCACTTTGGGAGTCTGAGGCAGGTGGATCATGAGGTCAGGAGTTCAAGACCAGCCTGGCCAAGATGGTGAAACCCCATCTCCACAAAAATACAAAAATTAGCTGGGCGTGAAGGCGGGTGCCTGTAATCCCAGCTACTCAGGAGGCTGAGGCAGGGAATTGCTTGAACCCAGGAGGCAGATGTTGCAGTGAGCCAAGATCACACCACTGCACTCCAACCTGGGTGACAGAGTGAGACTCTGTCTCAAAAAAAAAAAAAAAGATTCCCAAAAATGTGGAAGTGACTTTGGAACTGGGTAACAGGCAGAGATTGAAACAATTTTGAGGGCTCAGAAGATGGGAAGATGTGGGAAAGTTTGGAATTTCCTAGGGACTTATTGAATTGCTTTGACCAAAATGCTGATAGTAATATGAGCAGTGAAGGCCAGGCTGAAGTAGTCTCAGATGAAGATGAGAATCTTCTTGGGAACTAGAGCAAAGCTGACTCTTGCTATGTTTTAGCAGAGACTGGTGGCATTTTGCCCCTGCCCTAGAGGTCTATGGAACTTTGAACTTGAGAGAGATGATTTAGGCAGAAGAAATTTCTAAGCAGCAAAGCATTTAAGATGTAATCTGGGTGCTCTTAAAAGTGTTCAGTTTTATGCTTCACAAAGAGATGATTTGGAATTGGAACTTATGTTTGAAAGGAAAGCAGAGCATAAAAGTTTAGAAAATTTACAGCCTGGCGATGCAATGGAAAAGAAAAACCCCTTTTCTTGGGAGAAATTCAAGCCAGCTGCAGAAATTTGCATAAGTAATGAGGAACCAAATGTTAATCACCAAGACAATGGGGAAAATGTCTCCAAGGCATGTAAGTGGTCTTCATGGCAGCCCTGGAGGCATAGGAGGTAAAAATGGTTTCCTGGGCCAGGTCCAGGAACTTGCTGCTTTGTGCAGTCTCAGGACTTGGTGCCCTATGTCCCAGCTGTGGCTAAAATGGGCCAAGGTACAGCTCAGGCCATTCCTTCTGAGGGTACAAGCCCCAGTCCTTGGTGGTTGGACCTGTGGTGCACAGAAGTCAAGAAATGAGGTTTGGAAAGCTCTGCCTAGATTTCAGAGGATGTATGGAAACACCTGGATGTCCAGGCAGAAGTTTGCTGCAGGGTCAGAGCCCTTATGGAGAACCATTGCTAGGGTAGTGCAGAAGGAAAATGTGAGGTCAGAGCCCCCACTGGGGCATTGCCTAGTGGAGCTGTGAGAAGAGGGCCACCATCCCCCAGACCACAGAATGGTAGATCCACTAACAGCTTGCACCATGCACCTGGAAAAGCAGCAGACACTCAATGCCAGCCCATGAAAGCAGCCATACCCTGCAAAGCTACAGGGGTGAGCAGCCCAAGGCTATGGGAGCCCAACTCTTGCATCAGCAGCACCTGGATGTGAGATATGGAGTTAAAGATTATTTCAGAGCTTTAAGATTTGACTGATCCACTGGATTTAGGATTTGCACAGGGCCTATAGCCCCTTCTTTTTGGCCAATTTGGAATGGGTGTATTTGCCCATTTCATGTACCCCCATTATATCTAGGAAGTAACTAACTTTGGACTTGGACTCTTGGGTTAATGCTGGAATGAGTTAAGACATTGAGGGGCTGTTGGAAGGGCATGATTATGTTTTGAAAGTGAGGACATAAGATTTGGGAGGGGCCAGGGCGAAATGATACAGTTTGGCTGTTTCCTTACCCAAAATCTTATCTTGAATTGTATTCCCCAAAATCTCCACGTGTCAAGGGAAAGACCAGGTGGAGGCAATTGGATCATGATGGGGTTTCCCCCATGTTGTTCTCATGATAGTGATTGAATTCTCTTGAGATCTGATGGTATTATAAGTGTTTTGTAGTTCCTCCTGAGTTCATTCTCCTTCCTGCCACCTTGTGAATAAGGTGCTTTGCTTCCCCCTCACCTTCTGCCACGATCATAAGTTTTCTGAGGCCTCCCCAGCCATCCTGAACTGTGAGTCAATTAAGCCTCTTTTCTTTATAAATTATCCAGTCTCAGGCAGTTCTTTATAGCAGTATGAAAATGAACTAATACAGCGCACTTCAATAAAATACAGAGAAACAATTCAGAAATCTATTAGAGAAATGCAACAGATATGAAATAATGGGAAAAAAGCCAGAAATGCTGGAGCTGAAAAATACAATGAAAAAAATTAAAAATGCAATGGAGACATCAATAGCAGAATTTATCAAACAGAAGAAAAAAATATGTGAACTTGAAAACAGGTTACTTGCAAACTTATGATATGAAGAAAGAATGAAAAGGAATGAAGAAAGCTTATGGGACTTATGGAATAGCATCAAAAGAGCAAATGTCGCCTGGACATGGTGGCTCATGCCTGTAATCCCATCACTTCGGGAGGCTGAGGTGGGTGGATAATGTGAGGTCAGGAGTTCAAGACCAGCCTGACCAACCTGGTGAAACCCTGTCTCTACTAAAAATACAAAATTAGCCCAGCGTGGTGGTGTGTGCCTGTACTCTCAGCTATTTGGGATGCTGAGGCAGGGCAGGAGAATTGCTTGAATCCAGGAAGCGGAGGTTGCAGTGAGCTAAGATCACACCATTGCACTCCAGCCTGGGTGACAAGAGTGAGACTCCAGCTCCAAAAAAAAAAAAAAAAAAAAAAAGGAAATATATGAGTTGTTGGTATTCAAGAAGGAGTTAAGAAAGATAAAGATTTATAAAGCTTATTTAAATAAATCATAGCAGAAACATTTCAAAATCTGGAGACATATAACTATCTAGGTACAGGAAGGTCAAAAGTCTTCAATCATACTCAATCCAAATAAGACTACCCGATGATATATTACAATCAAACTGCCAAAAACCAAAGACAAAGAGAGAAACCTGAAAGCAAGAAAAAAAAATAACACATAAGGGAGTTCTAATATGACTGTTACCAGCTTTTTCAGCAGAAACCTCACAGGCCAGGAGAGAATGGAATTACATATTCAACGTGCTGAAGGGAAAAAACCTTTCAGCCAAGAATTCTGTTCTTAGCAAAATTGTCCTTTGGAAATGAAAGAGATAGACTTTCCCACACAAACTAAGCTGAGGGGCTTTATCACCACCAGATATGTCTTATAAGGAGTACTAAAGGGAGTTCTTCACATTGAAAGAAATGATGCTAATGGGTAATAAGAAAACATTAGAAAGTATAAAACTCACTGGTAAAAGCAAGTAAACAGTCAAATTCAGAATACTCAAATAATATAAAGGGGTTATGTAAATCACTTATTTCTTTTTTTTATTATACTTTAAGTTCTAGGGTACATGTGCACAATGTGCAGGTTTGTTACATACGTATACGTGTGCCATGTTGGTGTGCTGCACCCATTAACTCATCATTTACATTAGGTATATCTCCTAATGCTATCTCTCCCTGCTGCCCCCACCCCACAACAGGCCCCGGTGTGTGATGTTCCCCTTCCTGTGTCCAAGTGTTCTCATTGTTCACTTCCCACCTATGAGTGAGAACATGTGGTGTTTGGTTTTTTGTCCTTGTGATAGTTTGCTGAGAATGATGGTTTCCAGCTTCATCCATGTCCCTACAAAGGACATGAACTCATCCTTTTTTATGGCTGCATAGTATTCCATGGTGTATATGTGCCACATTTTCTTAATCCAGTCTATCATTGATGGACATTTGGGTTGGTTCCAAGTCTTTGCTATTGGTAAATCACTTATTTCTTTAGTATGAAGACAAAAAGACAAAACTATTAAAAATTATAACCATTAAAATAATTTGTTAAAGTATATACAATATAAAAAGATGTAAATTGTGACACTAAAAATTCAAAATGGGGAGATGAAGGGTAAAGGTTGTGTTTTTTTGCAATTTGTATATACTTTAACAACTAAAATAATCTGTTAACATATATACAATATAAAAAGATGTAAATTGTGATATTAAAAATTCAAAATGGGGAGATAAAGGGTAAAGATTGTGCCTTTTTTGCAATTAAATTAAAGTTGTTATGAACTTAAAATAACATGTTATAAGATGTTTTTATAAGCCTCATGGTAACCATGAAGCAAAAACATATAATAGGTACAAAAATAACATGTTTAACTATAAGATGTTTTTGGTAAGCCTCATGGTAACTACAGAGCAAAAATCTGTAGTAGACGCACTAAAAATAAAAAGCAAGGAATCAAAGCATATTACTAAAGAAAATCACTTACCCACAAAGAAAGACTGTGAGAAGAAAAAAGGAAGAAAATATCTACAAAACAACTAGAAAGCAATTAACAAAATGACAGGAGTAATTCCTTACCTATTAATAATTACCTTGAATATTAATGGATTAAGTTCTCCAATTAAAACACATAGTTTCTGGGCCAGGTGCAGTGGCTCACGTCTGTAATCTCAGTGCTTTTGGAGGCTGAGGTGGGCAGATCACTTGAGGTCAGGAGTTTGAGACCAGCCTGGCCAACATGGTGAAACCCCGTCTCTACTAAAAAAAAAAATAGCTGGGTTTTGTGGTGGACCCCTGTAATCCTAGCTACTAAGGAGGCTGAGGCAGGAGAATCACTTGAACCTGGAAGCAGAGGTTGCAGTGAGCTGAGATCACACCACTGCACTCCAGCCTGGGCTTCAAAGCAAGACTCTGTCTCAAAAAAAAAAAAAAAAAAGACAGTGTCTGGATTAAAAAGCAAGACCCAACTGTGCGCTGCTTACAGGAGACTCACTTCATCTGCAAGGACAATATAGACTAAAAGTGAAGGAATGCAAAAGATATTTTATCCAAATGAAAACTAAAAGGCATCAGGAGTAGCTATACTAATGTCAGGTAAAATAGACTTTAAGTGAAAGCTATAAAAGAGGCCAAGAATGTTATTATATAATAATAAACAGGTCAATTCAGCAAGAAGATATGATAATTCTGAATATATTTGAACCCAACATCAGAGCACATATATAAATCAAATACTCCTAGATCTGAAAGAAGTGAACTACAATACGAGTAGGAGACTTCAACACCCTACTTTCAGCAATTAGATCATCCAGACAGAAAATCAAGAAAGAAACACCAGATTTAAGCTATATTCTAAACCAAATGGATCTAACAAACATTTATAGAAAATTTCATCAAAAAGCTTCAGAATATACATTCTTCTCAACTACACATGGAACATTCTCCAGGATAGATCACATGTAATGCCATAAAACAAGTCTTCAAAAATTTAAGAAGATTGAAATTATATCAAGTGTCTTTTCTCTCTTGAATGATATAAACCTAGAAATCAATAAACAGGAAGAACTTTGGAAACTTACAAATACATAGAAATTAAACAACATGATATTGGTTAACCAATGGGTCAATAAAGAAATTAAAAGAAAAATTTTAAAAATTTTCTTCTGAAAACAAAAATGGAAACACAACATACCAAATCTGTAGAATACAGCAAAAGCAATTTAAACAGGAAAATTTATAGCAACAAATACCTGCATCAAAATAGATTAAAAATGTCAAATAAACAACCTAATATTGTAGGTCAAGGAACTGGAAAACAAGAACAAATCCAAACCAAAACTAGTAAAAGAAAGGAAATAATATACATCAGAGTGGAAACAAATAAAATAGAGCCTGGAAAAACAACATAAAATATCAGCAAAAATGAATAATTGATTTTTTCAAAGATAACCAAATTTGACAAATGTTTATCTAGAATAAGAAAAAAGAAAGAAGATTCAAATAAATAAATTCAGAGATTAAAAAAGAGAAATTATAATTAATACTACAGAAATACAAAGAATGATGAGACTGTTGTAAACAATTATAAACCAACAAATTGATTAACCTAGAAGAAACGAATAAATTTTGAACACATACAACCTACAAAGATTGAACTATGAAGAAACAGAAAATGTCAACAGACAAATAACAAATAAGGAAATGGAATCACATCAAGAAAGTCCCAGAATCTGATGGCTTAACTACCAAATTCTACCAAATATTTAAAGAACTAATATTAGTTCTCAAACTATTCCAAAAATTGAAGAGGAAGGAATACATCCAAACTTATTCTACAAGGCCAGCATTACCCTGATACTGAAACCAAACAAAAAGACAACAACAAGAAAAAGAAAACTACAGGCCAATATCCCTGATGAACATAGGTGCAAAAATCATCAACAAAATACCAGCAAACTGAATTCAACAGCACTTTAAAAAGGTCATTCACCATGATCACGTGGAATTCATCCTGGAGATGCAAGAAAGGTTGAACATATGCAAAGCAATAAATGTGGTACATAACATTAACAAAATGAAGGACAAAAAATATGATTATCTTAATTGACACAGAACAAGCATTTGATAAAATTGAACATCCTTTTATGCTAAAAACACTCAACAAACTAAGCATAGGAGGAACATAGCTCAACAAAATAAAGACCATATGTGACAAGCCCACAGCTAACATCTATACTGAAAAGGGAAAAGTTTAAAACTTTCCCTCTGCAACCAGGCATGGTGGCTCATGCCTGTAAATCTTAGTACTTCGGGAGGCCAAGGTGGGAGGATCACTTGATCCTAGGGGTTTTTTGGTTGCAGTGAGATATGATCACACCTCTGCAGTCCAGCCTGGGTGACAGAGTGAGACCCTGACTCTAAACAAACAAACAAACAAAAATAACATGTTTTCTGTAAGATACGGAACAAGGTAAGAATAAGAACGCTCACTTTTGCCACTTACATTCAGTGTACTACTGAAAGTCCTACCCAGAGCAATTAGGCAAGAAAAAGAAATAAAAGGCATCTGAATTTGAAAGGAAAAAGATAAATAAAGGAAAAAGTTAAATAAAGGAAAAAGATAAATTGTTCCTGGCTGCAGATAACATGTTCTTTTTTCTTTTTAATTATACTTTAAGTTTTAGGGTACATGTCCACAACATGCAGGTTAGTTACATATGTATACATGTGCCATGTTGGTGTGCTGCACCCATTAACTCATCATTTAACATTAGTTATATCTCCTAATGCTATCCCTCCACCCTCCCCTCACCTCACAACAGGCCCCTGTGTGTGATATTCCCCTTCCTGTGTCTATGTATTCTCATTGTTCAATTCACACCTATGAGTGAGAACATGTGGTGTTTGGTTTTTTTGTCCTTGCGATAGTTTGCTGAGAATGATGGTTTCCAGCTTCATCCATGTCCTTACAAAAGACATGTACTCATCATTTTTTATGGCTGCATAGTATTCCATGGTGTATATGTGCCACATTTTCTTAATTCAGTCTATCATTGTTGGACATTTGGCTTGATTACAAGTCTTTGCTATTGTGTAGAGTGCCACAATAAACATATGTGTGCATGTGTCTTTATAGCAGCATGATTTATAATCCTTTGTGTATATACCCAGTAATGGGATGGCTGGGTCAAATGGTAGTTCTAGTTCTAGATCCCTGAGGAATCGCCACACTGACTCCCACAATGGTTAAACTAGTTTACAGTCCCACCAACAGTGTAAAAGTGTTCCTATTTCTCCACATCCTCTCCAGCACCTGTTGTTTCCTGACTTTTTAATAATCGCCATTCTAACTGGTGTGAGATGGTATCTCACTGTGGTTTTTGATTTGCATTGCTCTGATGGCCAATGATGATGAGCATTTCTTCATGTGTCTTTTGGCTGCATAAATGTCTTCTTTTGAGAAGTGTCTGTTCATATCCTTTGCCCACTTTTTGATGGGGTTGTTTGTTTTTTTCTTGTAAATTTGTTGGAGTTCATTGTAGATTCTGGATATTAGCCATTTGTCAGATGAGTAGATTGCAAAAATTTTCTCCCATTCTGTAGGTTGCCTGTTCACTCTAATGGTAGTTTCTTTTGCTGTGCAGAAACTCTTTAGTTTAATTAGATCCCATTTGTCAATTTTGGCTTTTGTTGCCATTGCTTTTGGTGTTTTAGACATGAAGTCCTTGCCCATGCCTATGTCCTGAATGGTATTGCCTAGGTTTTCTTCTAGGGTTTTTATGGTTTTAGGTCTAACATTTAAGTCTTGAATCCATCTTGAATTAATTTTTGTATAAGGTGTAAGGAAGGGATCCAGTTTCAGCTTTCTACTTATGGCTAGCCAGTTTTCCCAGCACCATTTATTAAATAGGGAATCCTTTCCCCATTGCTTGTTTTTGTCAGGTTTGTCAAAGATCAGATGGTTGTAGATATGCGGCATTATTTCTGAGGGCTCTGTTCTGTTCCATTGGCTATATCTCTGTTTTGGTACTAGTACCATGCTGTTTTGTTTACTGTAGCCTTGTAGTATAGTTTGAAGTCGGGTAGCGTGATGCCTCCAGCTTTGTTCTTTTAGCTTAGGATCGACTTGGCAATATGGGCTCTTTTTTGGTTCCATATGAACTTTAAAGTAGTTTTTTCCAATTCTGTGAAGAAAGTCATTGGTAGCTTGATGGGGATGGCATTGAATCTATAAATTACTTTGGGCAGTATGGCCATTTTCACGATATTGATTCTTCCTACCCATGAGCATGGAATGTTCTTCCATTTGTTTGTATCCTCTTTTATTTCATTGAGCAGTGGTTTGTAGTTCACCTTGAAGAGGTCCTTCACATCCCTTGTAAGTTGGATTCCTAGGTATTTTGTTCTCTTGGAAGCAATTGTGAATGGGAGTTCACTCATGATTTGGCTCTCTGTTTGTCTGTTATTGGTGTATAAGAATGCTTGTGATTTTTGCATATCGATTTTGTATCCTGAGACTTTGCTGAAGTTGCTTATCAGCTTAAGGGGATTTTGGGCTGAGACAATGGGGTTTTCTAGGTATTCAATCATTTCATCTGCAAACAGGGACAACTTGACTTCCTCTTTTCCTAATATAATCCCCTTTATTTCCTTTCCTGCCTGATTGCCCTGGCCAGAACTTCTAACACTATGTTGAATAAGAGTGGTGAGAGAGGGCATCCCTGTCTTGTGCCAGTTTTCAAAGGGAATGCTCCCAGTTTTTGCTCATTCAGTATGATATTGGCTGTGGGTTTGTCATAGATAGCTCTAATTATTTTGATATGCATCCCATCAATACCTAATTTATTGAGAGTTTTTAGCATGAAGGGTTGTTGAATTTTGTTAGAGGCCTTTTCTGCATCTATTGAGATAATCTTATGGTTTTTGTCATTGGTTCTGTTTACATGCTGGATTACATTTATTGATTTGCATATGTTGAACCAGCCTTGCATCCCAGGGATGAAGCCCACTTGATCATGGTGGATAAGCTTTTTGATGTGCTGCTGGATTTAGTTTGCCAGTGTTTTATTGAGGATTTTTGCATCAATGTTCATCTGGGATATTGGTCTAAAATTCTCTTTTTTTGTTGTGTCTCTGCCCGGCTTTGGTATCAGGATGATGCTGGCCTCATAAAATGAGTTAGGGAGGATTCGCTCTTTTTCTATTTATTGGAATAGTTTCAGAAAGAATGGTACCAGTTCCTCCTTGTACCTCTGGTAGAATTCGGCTGTGAATCCGTCTGGTCCTGGAGTTTTTTTGGTTGGTAAGCTATTAATTATTGCCTCAATTTCAGAGCCTGTTATTGGTTTATTCAGAGATTGAAATTCTTCCTGGTTTAGTCTTGGGAGGTTGTTTGTGTCGAGGAATTTATCCATTTCTTCTAGATTTTCTAGTTTGTTTGCATAGAAGTGTTTATAGTGTTTGCTGATGGTAGTTTGTATTTCTGTGGGATCAGTGGTGATATTCCCTTTATCATTTTTTATTGCATCTATTTGATTCTTCTCTCTTTTCTTCTCTATTAGTCTTGCTAGCGGTCTATCGATTTTGTTGATCTTTTCAAAAAACCAGCTCCTGGATTCATTGATTTTTTTGAAAGGTTTTTTGTGTCTCTATTTCCTTCAGTTCTGCTCTGATCTTAGTTATTTCTTGCCTTCTGCTAGCTTTTGAATGTGTTTGCTCTTGCTCCTCTATTTCTTTTAATTGTGATGTTAGGGTGTCAATTTTAGATCTTTCCTGCTTTCTGTTGTGGGCATTTAGTGCTATAAATTTCCCTCTACACACTGCTTTGAATGTGTCCCAGAAATTCTGGTACGTTGTGTCTTTGTTCTCATTGGTTTCAAAGAATATCTTTATTTCTGCCTTCATTTTGTTATGTACCCAGTAGTCACTCAGGAGCAGGTTGTTCAGTTTCCATGTAGTTTAGCGGTTTTGAGTGAGTTTCTTAATCCTGAGTTCTAATTTGATTGCACTGTGGTCTGAGAGACAGTTTGTTATAATTTCTGTTCTTTTACGTTTGATGAGGAGTGCTTTACTTCCAACTATGTGGTCAATTTTGGAATAGGTGTGGTGTGGTGCTTAGAAGAATGTATATTGTGTTGATTTGGTGTGGAGAGTTCTGTAGATGTCTATTAGGTCTGCTTGGTGCAGAGCTGAGTTCAATTCCTGGATATGCTTGTTAACTTTCTGTCTCATTGATCTGTCTAATGTCGACAGTGGGGTGTTAAACTCTCCCAATATTATTGTGCAGGAGTCTAAGTCTCTTTCTAGGTCTCTGAGGACTTGCTTTATGCATCTGGGTGCTTCTGTATTGGGTGCATATATATTTAGGATAGTTAGCTCTTCTTGTTGAATTGATCCCTTTACCATTATGTAATGGCCTTCTTTGTCTCTTTTGATCTTTGTTGGTTTAAAGTCTCTTTTATTAGAGACTAGGATTGCAACCCCTGCATTTTTTGTTTTCCATTTGCTTGGTAGATCTTCCTCTATCCCTTTATTTTGAGCCTATGTGTGTCTCTGAACATGAGATGGGTCTGGGGAATACAGCACACTGATGAGTCTTGACTCTTTATCCAATTTGCCAATTTGTGTCTTTTAATTGGAGCATTTAGCCCATTTACATTTAAGGTTAATATTGTGTGAATTTGATCCTGTCATTATGATGTTAGCTGATTATTTTGCTCATTAGTTGATGCAATTTCTTCCTAGTCTGCATGGTCTTTACAATTAGGCATCCTTTTGCAGTGGCTGGTACCGGTTGTTCCTTTCCATGTTTAGTGCTTCCTTCAGGAGCTCTTTTAGGGCAGGCCTAGTGGTGACAAAATCTCTCAGCATTTGCTTGTCTGTAAAGGATTTGATTTCTCCTTCACTTATGAAGCTTAGTTTGGCTGGATATGAAATTCTGGGTTGAAAATTCTTTTCTTTAAGAATGTTGAATATTGGCCCCCACTCTCTTCTGGCTTGTAGAGTTTCTGCTGATAGATCAGCTGTTAGTCTGATGGGCTTCCCTTTGTGGGTAACCCCACCTTTCTCTCTGGCTGCCCTTAACATTTTTTCCTTCATTTCAACTTTGGTGAATCTGACAATTATGTGTCTTGGAGTTGCTCTTCTTGAGGAGTATCTTTGTGGCATTCTCTGTATTTCGTGAATTTGAATGTTGGCCTGCCTTGCTAGATTGGGGAAGTTCTCCTGGATAATATCCTGCAGAGTGTTTTCCAACTTGATTCCATTCTCCCCGTCACTTTCAGGTACACCAATCAGATGTAGATTTGGTCTTTTCACATAGTCCCATATTTCTTGGAGGCTTTGTTCATTTCTGTTTATTCCTTTTTCTCTAAACTTCTCTTCTCACTTCATTTCATTCATTTGATCTTCCATCACTGATACCCTTTCTTCCAGTTGATTGAATCGGCTACTGAGGCTTGTGCATTCACCATGTTCATTCTCGTGCCATGGTTTTCAGCTCCCTCAGGTCCTTTAAGGACTTCTCTGCATTGGTTTTTCTAGCTAGCCATTCGTCTAATTTTTTTTCAAGGTTTTTAACTTGTTTTCCATGGGTTCGAACTCCCTCCTTTAGCTCGGAGTAGTTTGATCATCTGAAGCCTTCTTCTCTGAACTCGTCAAAGTCATTTTCCATCCAGCTTTGTTCCGTTGCTGGTGAGGAGCTGCGTTCCTTTGGAGGAGGAGAGGTGCTCTGATTTTTAGAGTTTCCAGTTTTTCTGCTCTGTTTTTTCCCCATCTTTCTGGTTTTATCTATCTTTGGTCTTTGATGATGGTGATTTACAGATGGGGTTTTGGTGTTCATGTCCTTTCTGTTTGTTAGTTTTCCTGCTAACAGTCAGGACCCTCAACTGCAGGTCTGTTGGAGTTTGCTAGAGGTCCACTCCAGACCCTGTTTGTCTGGGTATCAGCTGTGGAGGCTGCAGAACAGCAAATATTCCTGAACAGCCAATGTTGCTGCCTGTTCATTCCTCTGGAATTTTTTTCTCAGAGGAGTACCCAGCTGTGTGTGGTGTAAGTCTGCCCCTACTTGGGGGTGCATCCCAGTTAGGCTACTTGGGTGTCAGGGACCCACTTGAGGAGGCAGTCTGTCCGTTCTCAGATCTCCAGCTGTGTGCTGTGAGAACCACTGCTCTCTTCAAAGTTGTCAGACAGGGACATTTAAGTCTGCAGAGTATTCTGCTGCCTTTTGTTTGTCTATGCCCTACCCCCAGAGGTTGAGTCTACAGATCCAAGCAGGCCTCCTTGAGCTGTGGTGGGCTCCACCCAGTTGGAGCTTCCCTGCCGCTTTGTTTACCTACTGAAGCCTTGGCAATGGCGGGCACCCCTCCCCAGCCTTGCTGCCGTCTTGCAGTTTGATCTCAGACTGCTGTGCTAGCAATGAGCAAGGCTCCGTGGGCATAGTACCCTCCGAGCCAGGCACGGGATATAATATCCTGGTGTGCCGTTTGCTAGGACTGTTGGAAAAGCGCAGTATTAGGGTGGGAGTGACCCGATTTTCCAGGTGCCGTCTGTCAACCCTTACTTTGAGTAGGAAAGGGAATTCCCTGACCCCTTGTGCATCCTGGGTGAGGCGATGCCTCGCCCTGCTTCGCCTCACGCTCGGTGGTCTGCACCCACTGTCCTGCACCCGCTTTCTGACACTCCCCAGTGAGATGAACCCGGTACCTCAGTTGGAAATGCAAAAAACACCTGTCTTCTGCATCGCTGATGCTGGGAGTTGTAGACTGGAGCTGTTCCTATTCAGCCCTCTTGGCTCCACTCCCCCAGATAACATGTTCTTATCCTTCATTTTGTTAATGTTATGTACCACATTTATATATAGAAAGTACTAAAGACTCCATCAGAAAACATTAGATTTATAAATGAATTCAGGAAAGTTGCAAGATACAAAATCAGTATGTAAAAATCAGTAGCATTTCTCTACACTGACAGCAAATTATGTGAAAAAAATCAAGGAAACAATCCCATTTTCAATAGCTAGAAAAAGTTAAACACTTAGGCATAAATATAAGCAAGGAGGTGTAAGGTCTCTACAATGAAACTATAAAACATTAATGTAAGGAATCGAAGAAGACACACATACACAAATAAAATGATATCTCATGTTTATGAATTGGAAGAATTAATATTGTTAAAATGTCAATACTACCCGAAGTGATCTACATATTCAATTCAATCCCTATGGAAATGCCAATGATAGTCTTCAGAGAAATAGAAAAAAAATTCTAAAATTTGTGTGCAACTGCAAAACACCCAAAATAGTGAAAAAATTCTTGAGCATAAAGTACAAAGCTGGAGCCATCACACTACCTGGTGTCAAAATATACTACCAAACTGTAGCAACCCAAACAGCATTGTACTGACACAAAAACAGACACACAGACTTAAGGAATAGAATAGAGAACCCAGAAATAAATCCTTGTATTTATAGTCAACTGATTTTCAACAAAGTTGCCAAGAACACACTATTGGGAAAGGGCAGTATCCTCAATAAATTGTGGGAAACTGTATATCCACAGGTAGAAGAATGAAATTTGACCCTTATTGCTCACCATATGCAAAAACAAACTCAAAATGGATTAAAGACTTCAATGCAAGACCTGAAATTATTAGAATACATAGGGCAAAAATTTCATGACAATGAAATTTGGATATAAATTTGAAATGACAATGAAATTTGGGCAACGAGTTTTGGATATGACCTCAAGAGCATAGGCAACAAAAGTAAAAATAGACAAATGGGATTACATCAAACTCAAAAGCTTCTGTGCAACAAAGAAAACAATCAACAGAATGAAGAGATACCTATCAAATTGGAGAAAATATTTGGAAACTATATATCTGATAACAGCCAACATATATAAGAAATTCAAACAACTAAATAGCAAGAAAATGAATAACCTGATTACAAAATGGACAGAAGATCTGAATGAACATTTCTCAAAAGAAGATACACACAAATGACAAACAGGCATATCAAAAAATGCTCAACAACACTAATCATTAGGTAAATTCAAATCACCTCACTCTTGTCAGAATGGCTATTAAGAAAATGACAGAAAGTGTTGGTGAGGATGTGGAAAAAAGGGAACTCTTACACACCTTTGGTGGGAATATAAATTAGTATAGCCATCATGGAAAACAGTAAGGAGGTTCCTCAAAATGTTAAAAATAGAACTACAAAATGATCCAGCAATCCCCCACTGGGAATATATGCAAAGGAAATGATCTCAGTATGTCAAAGAGATAACTGCACTCCCATGTTTATTTCAGCACTATTTTTACAGCCAACATATGGAATCAACCCTAGTGTCCATCAATGGATGAAAAGATAAAGAATGTTATATATATACATGATGGAATACTACTCCACTGTAAAAAAGAATAAAATCCCGCCACTTACAAAAACATGGAAGAACCTGGAGGACATTATAGTAAGTGAAATAAGCTAGACACAGAAAGACAAATACCACATGATCTCACTCATACATGGTCATTCATATATTGGGCAAACACCACCTTCGATGTATAATGATGGTTTGGCTCATCACTCTGGTCTTACAACATTATTTGATTTCTACATGGGAGGAACCAACTGTGTAGGCGTTTCATACCCTGAGATTCAAACGCATGTTCTATATTACAAGCTGAGATAATATTTCAGGGTTTATCTATTTTAACTGAAACTCATTTGAGATAATCTTTAAACTTCCTTCACAAATAGGAAAAAGCTTAGGAAAGTGATGGTTATACAGCTATAATTCTATCCAGGAATCAGAAATTTTAATAAGCTTCTATAAATTTTTACTTCTTCAGACTCTAGTATTGATTTTAATCTTTACAATCAACAATTACTCATTTGTTGTTATGGGAAAAATATGACACATCTTTCCCCACTTCTGAAATCTATTCAGGGAAAATGAAATTTTTATTTTCCCTGAGAGAAAGAATAATCAGAAATGACAACCTGAAATGGCAAAGCTAAATAAAAAAATCAGAACTAACATGTTGTTTTGTTTTGTGGAGAAATGTACTTGGGTAGCTGCAATTAAAAATGTGTTTCTTGTCAAAAGGCATAGCCTTACAGATTTTGTTATTTACTTAAAAAGAATATTTGTTCCCTCAATTGAGGAAACAATGGCTATATATGCTTTCAATGCCTCCTAAGGCTACTTGAGTAAGGAATTGAATGGCAGGATAGCATAATAAATCCATTAACACAGGTCAGAAAAACTCCAAGCCTAATATGTCCCAACATGTGATTAATTTGGGAGAAAGTCTGGAAATCAAGGTTCATACCAAAAAGGGCTCAAGAGTACTGGCCTAGCTCTGTGTTGTCCTTGATTCAGAGGATTTACAGGCAAATGTCATTATTGTCTTAAAGATCTAGGTCCTGTTGGTCTTCTTCAGGATAAAAGTCAGAGGAAGCATATTCATTGGCATGGATCCTAACTCATGCTGGACTAGATCCAGAAAGTATATTTTTTAAAAATTCTGAAAAATCTGAAGGTTTAAACTGAGTGTGAAAATAGATTATCTTTTCAATATAAATGAAACTCAGAGTCAAAGAATTTTGAACAATAAAAGCCTGATTGGATGAATACTGTTTGCTAACAATTTTAATGTAAACATTCTTTATAAGGTCAAAGGTCTAGAAGGGCTTCAAGGATTAATTCCAATAATGCTTGCTACTAGGCTAGATTTGAAGCCATGTACATCATGACAACTTTGGCATGAAATCTGATCAGCCACCTGCCACAGAATGCTGCAGCCAGAAAGAGAGAGAGGAGGAATCCTGTGCAGTCCTTTAGAAAACAGGAGGCCAAAGCATATATAGAGACAGTTATAGTTACTAAGAAGTCAAAAGAAAAAATTTTCATTGATTAAATAGAAATGCAAAAGTAGAGAATGTAGTATTTATGGTTAATGCATGAGATACACTTTGAGTTCCTTATAATGAGAGCCGTGTGCTGTAGTACAGAGTATGTGATCATGGAAGTATCTCACTTTTCTAGTTCTCAGTTTCTTCATCTGTAAAATAGGAAGATTAGATTTCCTAAATTCCACAGGGTTGTTGTGAGGCTTAAATAAGATGTACCTGGAACAGAATAAGTGCTCAACTATTATGATGATGATGAATCAATGGAAAAGTAGGGGAATTGTAAAATTAGCATCTTTATTTGAAGGGGAAATTCTATATGGTTTTATGAGATATTAGTTCTAAAAAAATTTAGCTCATTTTTCTTTAAACCAACTAAAAATAAGCCCTCCCCCCTTCCCCACCACCACCTGTGTTTTCTCCACTTAATCCTTTGGGGGAGTATCAAGTTGTGTGTACATATATTTTTTTCCCCAGATTTTACTTTCCTGGGTTTTAGAGAAAGGACTAAAAGAATGATGTACAAATATATAAATATATTTTTCCCAGTACATGTTACTGGGTAATGATAAATATTTTCCATTAAAATAAATCACTGGATTTTTCCATGTCTTTTAAGAATTACTGGAAACTGATGATAATTCAAATAATACACTAATGATATTAGGTAGGGAGTATCTAAGCTACTAATGTGCAACTTAAGAGAAATATGGGTAGAAAATAAGTGAAATACCCTACCCTCTACTGTGAAAAATTTAGCAAAGTTATTTTTTGAGAAATTTAAGGAAAAACCATCTACCACAAATTAGCACTAGAAACACTTACCAAAGAGAAGGTCTGTGTGTTATAGACAGTAAGGAAATTCCAGCCCCTTTTGCAGCCTGAAATATCTTTCCTTCGACATCAATGCTGACAGCACTGGTACATTCATCCAGCAAGGCATATTTTGGTCTTTTAAAAAGTACACACAAAAATTAATTATTTTGCTATATGAACTATAAGTTTTTCTTTGGACAATATGAGTTGCATTGCTAACAATTTTAATGGAGCAAAAAAGACTATGGCATTATTAAAGGCAATAAATGATAAAGCAAAAAAGTAGTTGTCCCCTTCTTTGGACTATAATATCACATTTTTAATACATTTAAATAGATTTTCTGACGCTTTCTAATAATACAATAAGCTTTATTGTCTTGTAGATGAATGAATCATAAATATGGGACATAGGAAAGATGAGGCAGGTCACTGAGTACATTTTCCTGCAGAAAGCAGGTTCATTGTTGGTGAGAAGGGTCTGACTAACTACATGAAAAATACATTGCAGTAGCTAATTATCAAACAGGCCACAGCCCTGTTAGCAAAGATTTAATGAGAAGATTATTTTATCAGCAATATGAATACCTAAGCATTACTAATGGAATTTCATCACTATAAGACTGCGAGAGTGAATGTGGCTCATCTTACAAATTTATAACACACATTTAACCTCATAATATTGGAACCATACTCCAGAATCAAATTCTTAGGAGGAAAAGTAAATATTTTTCTAAGTATATTGGACAATTTTTTAAGCTTATTTTTTACTTTGATAATGCCTGTCTGTTATCAGAGGCATCTTATCACTTGCCATTGTTTCCCTCTGCTTATCCTTTCTCCCTCTCATCTCACCCCCTGCTCTTACTTTTCTTTGTCCTTTCCCTTTCTTCTTTCAAGTCCCTCTGGACTGTTGGTACTTAGCATGACTTAGCTTAGTTAATGGGAACAAAGTCAACTCTTACACTGTCATTTACTATTCAATTTGGAGTTGAAAATCAGTATCAGGTATTTGCCGGGACAATTTTCTTTACAAAAAAATTCTGATTTTTAAAAATAAAATGACAAAAAAGTTAAAAAAATGAAAATCAGTAATTTCTTATCAGAATAAATCATTATTTGCCTTGTAAGTTACTGTCCTAAAATCGATTTGCTTATTAATAGAATCCAGTTACCTACCACAGGTCAGGTAGTCAGGGCTAATAGATACAGGAGTCAAAGACTCTAAAACTGCTCCCTATGCAAAGAATAAAAGATCAGTGCATGTTCTCCATGACAACATCAACAGAAGTAGTGTCACTGCTTGACCTTTGGTTACTGTTCTGGTTTAAGTATTAAGCATTACTTCTTTGTCTCAGAGTTATTTTCTGTTTTGTGGATGAATGATATTTTTAAGTGAACAAGAGGAAGAAGTAAAGGAAGTATAAAAGTGAAAGGTTGAGTAAAATTTTCCTTTTGTGTAAACCTCTTTCCAGTGATTAACATGTTTATTGCATTTTGGCTTATTTTTCAGAGTGCCTTGATCGAAACAGAGAAAATATACCATTTTAGAATTAGAAAAATGTATGCATCTTACACTCCGTTGTCATAGCAACCTCTACTCTAGCAGATGTAAGATCACATGTTTTAGTTTCCTTGGCAGGGCTGGTGTGTGTCTGTGTGTGTTTGTGTGTGTACTTGAATATATCAAGCAATAGCTAGAATTCGATACTGATATAAGAAAAAAAGCATTAGGTAATATTGTTTCTCAGATTTGCTTTCCTTTTTGCTTTGTGTATCATCAGTAGAATGGGCTTCGTGAAGGATTTAATCTATCCCCTTAAGACAGGAGTTTTTCAATCATTCTTGAGCTATTAAAACATTTAAAATCCTCTCAAAAAGAGAATACTATTGTGATGCTTAGTACTTCCTGCTAAAGTTCTTGATTTTTGCCAGCTCAAGTCTTTCACATCACAATTCAAACTTTAAATCATTTGAGAATGAGGGAAGGCAGTTTCCTATTGTTAAACTTTCTCTTCACTAGATTGAATACCTAAAATTCCTTTTATCTTTTGTCAAAAGATTGTGCTTTTCAACTACTTGCTCTTCTTCATTGATCTTTATGTGGCTCACTAAATTTTCTTTCCACTGATATACTTGTGACTTATCTTCACTCATTATCACATTATATCCAAAATATTTTAGTTACACAAACACCAAGTATTTATTTCAGGTTACAGATATGTGAAATCTCTTTGGGTTAACATTTATTAATGCCACTTGCTATTTATTACAAGGTTTATTTTATTAACACACTGATACAGTGACAAATTTATGGCTAAATTTTACATTCCACCATATTACATTTCTATGCTGGTGATCATATTACTGGGTACTTATGGCCTAGACCCAAACAGATTCAGGGTGATAGTGGGTAACAGCTGGTCATAAATGCCAAGCTGTAAAGTTTTTGTTGTTGTTGTTGTTGTTGTTTTTGAGACGGAGTCTCATACTATTGCCAGGTTGGAGTGCAGTGGCACCATCTCGGCTCACTGCAATCTCCGCCTCCTGGGTTCAAGTGATTCCGCTGCCTCAGCCTCCCGAGTAGCTGGGACTATAGGCGCCCGCCACCATGCCTGGCTAATTTTTTTTAATTTTTGTAGAGACGGGGTTTCACTATGTTGGCCAGGATGGTCTGGATCTCCTGTCCTCATGATCCACCCGCCTCGCCCTCCCGAAGTGCTGGGATTATAGGCGTGATCCACCGCGCCCGGGATCAAGCTGTAAAGTTTACTCTTGAATTTCACTACATCTTCTGAGAAAGGGGTATCCCAAAATACACATCACTAAAAATCCCAAATTAGCAAAATTTAGTTTATATTTTTAGCTAGCCATATTCTTAAATGTACATTATTATAAATAACATGTTATGAACACAACTAATAATTTTTCTCACTAAAAATCCCAGCTAAACACAAAAATAATATTTAGTGTGTGATTTAATTTACCTGAAGTTATACAACAAGCAAAACCAATTTATGGTGACAGAAATCAGGACAGAAATGTCTAGAGGGGACTGGATTGGAAGGGAGGATGAGTAAACTTCCCAGGGTAACAGAAATGTTTTTTTATCTTGATTGGGGTATTGGTTACATAATGTAGAAACATTTATAAAAGTCATCCAATTGTATACCTAAAATATGTGTATTTAGTATATAAACTTTAGTACAATAACAATAAGCCCTGGTTAACTATTATATAGTAATACAGAAAAGCACATAATTACATATGAAATAAAAAGGATATAAATTATAATATGCTTTATGAAAATAGCTACATCAAAATAATAAAAATAACAACGAATTTTTGCATATTACCAAGACTGGGAAAAAAAAATCCCAAAATTTTAACAGTGTTTAAATGTTACAGTAATTTAAAATTTGAATAATTTAAAATGTCCAAAATTTTAACAGTGTTAATAAGATAACAGCTAATGAGATAATCGCTAATGAGATAACAGATTTTTTCTTCTTTTTACTTATATACATTTTCTACTTTTATAAAATGAACATATTATATTTTAATAAAATTCTTTAAATCATTTTTTATGCTATGTTCTTATTCAAAAGGCTGAACCTAAATCTCATCAAGCTCTTTGCTCTAATTTCCAGTTTACAGAAAAAAATGGGAGATTGGGGAACAAGATAAAGGACCCCTACCTAGATTTACCTGATAAGGTAGCAATGAGGTAAATCTAGAATAGGCAACATTCTACGGGACAATTAACCCAATTCCTTCAGCAAGTCAAAGGTATAAAAGGTAGGTGGGGCCTGGGAGGAGGAGAGACTCTTTAGATTAAAAAGGAATTAAGAGATGTAACAATAAAATGCAATGTGTGAAACTTGTTTAGATCCAGGTTTGAACAAATCAGTGTAAAAAGATATTTTTGAGACAATTAGGGAAACTTTGAATATGAACCATATATTAAATAACTTTAAATAATTATTACTAATTTAATTATTATTGTGACAAGTTATTATGTAAGAATATATCCTAATATTTCAGAGACTGTTCTCAAAGTATTTAGGGAAAAATATCATAATACCTGTGATTTGCTTTAAAATACTTTAGAAATTTTAAAAAATGAGTAGATAAATCAAGTGTAACGAAACATTAGACTTGTTAAATCAGTGTAATGAGAATATGGGGTTCTTACAATTTCTCTTTTTTGATGAAGTTTGACTTTTTTTCCGTAATTAAAGGCTTTTAAAAAAATGAATAGCCAACTGAGTGCTTAGTGTGAGCCAACTGAGTGCTTAGTGTGGGCCAACTAATTCCTAGGTGTTCGATAATACATACTTGACATAATTTTTAAAGTTCTCTATAAAATGTTACTACTTTCACAACAACTCACACAAGAGTGCTGCATCTGCCATTTATGGCCCATTCATGAATTCATGTACATAACTATTTGGTCCTTTTTGCCCAAGACTTAATTATTAAAAGTGAGGGCCGGGTGAGGTGGCTTACGCCTGTAATCCCAGCACTTTGGGAGGCCGAGGCGGGCGGATCACGAGGTCAGGAGATCGAGACCATCCTGGCTAACACGGTGAAACCCCGTCTCTACTAAAAATACAAAAAATTAGCCGGGCTTGGTGGCGGGCACCTGTAGTCCCAGCTACTCAGGAGGCTGAGGCAGGAGAATGACGTGAACCCGGGAGGCGGAGCTTGCAGTGAGCCGAGATGGTGCCACTGCACTCCAGCCTGGGCGACAGAGCAAGACTCCGTCTCAAAAAAAAAAAAAAAAAAAAGTGAGTAACATAGTTTCTGACAACCTTCTGTGCTGCAAAACTCAGGTTCTTATTGCCAGAGATCCAAGGGAGTTGGGAGGGGGAATGGAATGAATCAGGAGAATCAGAAGGGCTTTAATATTTCCTTCCCATGTCTTCTGCTTGATATCCTTAAACTCAAAAGGCTATGAAGCTGGTTACAATTAAAAATGTTTTATCAGAAGCAATTATTTCCTGCCTCTTAATTTTTCTCAATCCATTGAAACCTACGCAGAATGGTCCCTTTTTCCATTGGCTATGGCTTTGAATTTCAAGGGGGAGAGCATTACTGGTTTAATAGGCTGCTGAATGGTTAAAAAGTTGACTTACCTTGAATTTAATAATTTAATTCAGAAAGTTTTACTGAATGTCTACCTATTGGATTTACACAAGTATCATAGTGATTGTATAGTCTTCATATTTTAAAATTAATAATCATTATTTCAAACTTAGGATACATAAAAATTTAATTTAGTCCTTTGTACACATTATTTCATCTAACATTACTCAACATGAAAGAAATAGAAAAACAAATACTTGGAGATTCTACTATAAGAAAAAATAATTTGGCCAGTCACGGTGGCTCACGCCTGTAATCCCAGCACTTTGGGAGGCCAAGGCGGGCGGATCACCTGAAGTTAGGAGTTCAAGACCAGCCTGGCCAACATGGTGAAACCCCGTCTCTACTAAAAACACAAAAATTAGCCGGGCGTGGTGGCACACGCCTGTAATTCCAGCTACTTGGGAGGCTGAGACAGGAGAATTGCTTGGGCCTGGGAGACGGAGGTTGCAGTGAGCCAAGATCGTGCCACTGCACTCCAGCCTGGCTGACAGAGCGAGACTCTGTCTCAAAAACAAACAAACAAAAAAACCAACTGTGAACTCTATGCACTAATTTTGTAGTAAGATATTTTTAAGCTACAGATGAAGACGATAAATCCTGTCCAAACTTTTGTTGTTCCTATTGTTGCTTGGTTTGGTTACAACAATGGCCTAGTAGTTACCTGAATTTAGTATACTTACTTATGATAAAACATACGAGCCATGCCCATTCTTTGCTTTTCCCCTCCTGACAGGACATCTTTCCAGTCCATAACAGCATCCCATCCTTAAGAAAATAAAAAAATATACATTTTTATAAATCATTTGTTTAATTGTTACTATTTCTACCCTAGACAAGTGATTCCTGACAAATTCAAATTGTCAACATGAAGAACTTGGTATTTTATAGGATATATGCTTGGATAAACTACAGAGCCTCATGTATAAGCATTTTGTTTTAGATTTGATATTCTTCTGATGGTAATAACTTCTTATACTGACAAATGATCTTACAAGAATTCTAAACCCTGACACTTTAAAAACTGTGTTTGTTTCTCAGTGTCTCCGGTGGGTTGATAGGCTTATACTTATCTTGGAGGGAGATGGGAGAAAAGACCCAACAAATTTTCATATGTCAATTACAAAGTCTACAAAGGGTAAGAAAGGAACTAATTTAGGTGGCTCTCCTGTGCCTAGCACTTTATGTGAGTTCTCTTATCATATATTTCACAGTTTTGTAAGACAGATTTTATTTCTTGCATTTTATAAGTGAGCAACTGTAGTTCATGGAGTAATCGACATGTCTAGGTTTACACATGTCTGGTTTCAACCTCCTAGGTTCGAGCTATTTACCCTCCTCAGCCTTCCAAAGTGCTGGGACTACAGGTGTGAGCTGCCAGATGGGGCCAGCTACTAATTCTTGTGACATCTTGAGATGTCAGAACTGGGATTTATATTCAGGTCTATCTGATGCTTTTATAGTTTTTCCATGCATGCTATCTCTTAAAACATCTTAACTGTTGACTTTCTGTTTGATATTTATTCAAAAAACAAGCATTCTATTTTTCTTACAAATAGAGTAGGTCTTGTATATTAATATGAAAATGTGCCCAGAATATCTGTACATTAAAAATCAAGTTTCAGAATTGTATATATCATCATTGTCTTTCTGTAAATAAACACTACACATATACTTCCAAGAACAGAATTAGATTCATTTCCTAAGTTATTCATTTTTATAAAATTCTAAAATTTTATAATAAGCCTACCTTAATTTTTTAATTAGATTTTTTAAAGATTACTTAAAAATAAAACCATAGTTCCACTGCTGGAGAGTCTGATTTTCAAACAAGAAAATGATGCCAAAACCTAACAGATACTTACAGCAAAATTTCTAAATCCTAAGTGTTCAGGGATTAACTCTCATCTTTGGAAAAAATCCATGTTCTCTGTCATCTTTTTACTTGCTCAGCTGAATTTTTACCATTAAAATTTTGAAATTTTTACCACTAAATTTTGAAATAATCTTGGTCAACAGGAAAGAAAATAGCCCTCATTGCTTTATGTGTACTGTGTATCTGAAAAGTCAAATTATCAAAAATGATTATTTGATTCTTTTGCTGGTGAGAAGAAAAATTTGGACTTGTTTTTGAAATCCAAAAGTTTAGAGGCTTTGATGAAATAACATATATTAACTGTTAAACATAAAATGCATCTTTATGTTTCTTACCATCTTCTTCCTTTAAAATTACCACTACAAAGTACATTGCATTAAAAAATGTATAAAAGCATAAAAAAGAAACAAAACAATGGTTGCCTGATGGGGATAGGTGCAACTGGATGGAAGGCAACAGGAATTGGAAGAATTTTTTAGAGCACATTTAAAAATGCCCTTTCATTTATGAATTATGTGAAAGTGTTACTCCAAAAATTAAATAAGCAAAGACATACAATAAAGGTAATACAATATATGAAAAATTATCAATAAAAAATATCTGGAGTGAAAAG